>NW_019805500.1:0-160138 GCF_000001405.40 Homo sapiens | reverse complement strand
GATACCGAGATATGAATTTCTTGAAGTCACACGGCCGGGACAATGCAAGGTAGCACCTCAACCCCTACCCCTGTACAAAATGGAAATGAAAATCTGAGTGATCATTTGGGGAATTTTCTAGGCTGGTTTCATGCAGCCACAGAAAGGTTGAGGGTGGGAGAAAGGCTTGGCACCAGCTGTCCTTCGCTGTGTCTGCGTGGGATCTGAAGTAGTCCCTTCTGTCAGCCAAGGACAAGATAACCATAGATGTTTCTCATGGTGTGACAGCCCTTTTGATTACTTCCCCCAAGGACTTCCACAAGTCCAATATCTCATTGCAGCAACCCTTTCAGTAGGGCACCCACGGTTAATTCTCATTTTATTGATGGGAAGACTGAGGCCCATAATGTAAGCAACGTCCCCAGATCGTTCATTCAGTCAGCCACTCATTCAAATACTTAACAAGCATGGGCGTGTGCCAGTTGCTGTTCTAGCCGCAAACAAGACCAAGTCCTTCCTCTCAGGGAATTGACCTGTAGTGGAAAAGAGTGTCATACCAGCATGGACTTGAACCCAGGGGTCCTGATCCCAGCCCCATGTCCTCCTCACTCCCTCACTGGTGTCCAACACATCAGCAGGGGTGGGAGGCACCCAGAACCCCAACCCAGATCCCTCACACCTCTCTCGCTTAAAATGAACAATGTCAAAAAAATAGCATCTCTGCAGTTCAGCATTGAGCTGAGCCCAAGTCTCCATGATGGTCCATCAACTGGAAGGGATACAGTATTGAGCGCCCCCTGTAGGTGACATCACGTGATGGGATTCCTCATTCCAATAGAAAATACCATTAAAGGCCAGGCGCAGTGGCTCATGCCTGTAATCCCAGCACTTTGGGAGGCCGAGGCGGGCAGATCATGAGGTCAGGAGTTTGAGACCAGCCTGACCAACATGGTAAAACCCTGTCTCTACTAAAAATACAAAAATTAGCCAGGTGTGGTGGCACATGCCTGTAATTCCAGCTACTCAGGAGGCTGAGACAGGAGAATCACTTGAACCTGGGAGGCGGAGGTTGCAATGAACCAAGATTGCACCACTGCACTCCACCCTGGGCAAGAGAGTGAGACTCCATCTAAAAAAGAAAACAAAAAAAGAAAACACCATTAAACACCAGTCCAGGGTGGCTCTGACATCCCGGGGTCTTGTTCTAGCATTGAACCTGGCAGTGCTTGGGATCATTTCAGCTTGTTAACGTGCATGGTTTAGCTCTCAGAGTGTTTTGTTTTGTCTTGTTTTCATTCAGGTGCTTCATTTGAAAATTAATAGCCCCATTTAAAAACAGCAGTATTTCCTATGAAAATCCAGATTTCTAGCCAGTCTTAAAAAATCTGAAGGTCCATTAAGTCTGTGCCTGAATTTTCTCATGGCAGTTATTTCCTGGATCTTAGGTCGCTCGGTCCTTGCCTGTCCCCGTTCCCCAACCTGGCCCCCGACCACATCTCTGTTTGTAATCTCTGCTTTAAATCTTCACTGCTGTTGTTGGTGGGAGTGTCATTTTGGCTGGCTCTGTGACAGTTTACCCAGTTATCCACAGCATGGGAGGAACAAAAGCAAGCAGGTAGCTCCGTCTCCTGAGCTTTAAAGAAGTAATCTGGCCAGGTGCCGTGACTCAAGGCCTGTAATCCCAGAACTTTGGGAGGGTGAGGCAGGCGGATCACCTGAGGTCTGGAGTTCGAGGCCAGCCTGGCCAACATGGTAAAACCCCATTTCTACTAAAAATACAAAAATTAGCCGGGTGTGGTGGTGCACACCTATAATCCCAGCTACTTGGGAGGCTGAGGCAGGAGAATCGCTTGATCCTGGGAGTCGGAGGTTGCAGTGAGTGGAGATTGTACCACTGCACTCCAGCCTGGGTGACAGAGGGAGACTCCATCTCAAAATAGAAAAAAAAAAAAAAGTAACCCTAGAATCCTTGTGTTGTATCATTTTTCTAAATTGAAACTTTGATTTCATTCTGCTATTTATGGATTGTTCCTGCCCCTACTCACAGCCTACCTTCTTTACATTAAAAAGGAGGCCTCTTTCTGCAACACCCGAACTTGAAGATGCTCTGTAAATTAGCACAGATTAGTTTACTACGCTCAGGCCACTAAGAGTACAGAGGCCTGGCTGGATGAGTAAGAAGAATCATGGCCACTGTGTATTGTGTTCCTACTAAGTGGGCCCTTTTTGTATAGGATCCATATTTGTTTTCACAGCCACTCAATGCAGCTGTAAGAATTATTCTCCCCATTTGTCAAGCTTCTGGAGTTTACCTGATTTTTCTGAAGATCACACAGCTGGTTAAATGCTAGAATTTGAACCCAAGTTTTTCTGGCCCCATAGCTGCAGGAGCAAAGTGGGGCTGGGCAAGGATTCCATGGAGGTGGTTAATTGTCAGAAGTGGCTCAGACATTGGTATTCCTCGCCCTCAGGTAGAGAAGGAAAAACCCTTCTTCTTCTCCAGGTAGCAGCTAATAGGTGATTTGTGCAAAGTTGTGTCTCGAGAAAGGAGCCCATTGTAAATGTATCAACTTGTGTGTGAATTACATCCACCCTAGTATTAACTATTTCAGCCTAGTCAGGATTTATTCTCTGAGCACTATTTGTCAGGCACTGTGCTAGGAACTGAGTATAGCACAAGTTAAAAACAGGGACTGTGAGGTTACACCTTCTGGTTTGGAATTCTGATCTACTGTGTTCTAGCTGTGTTGCATTGGACGAGTGACTTAACCTCTCTGAACTGGTTTCATAATATTTGAAAATATTAATAGACCTATACTCATTTATTCATTGAGAAGATTAAATGAGATGCTGCATATACAGCATTTGGCATAGTAAATGTTTATGATGATGGTGATGGTGATGATTATGTCATTGTTATGATAAGCATAGAACTAAATTGTTGCTGGTAGGAGAAAGAAATAGATGGAGAATGGGCCTGAATTTTGCCTCTAGGTGCCTGAGTACATTTTGTATAATTGATGTGCATCCGTAATTGACAGGTGGTACCCAGATGTCTTGGGACAACATAAAGAAGTCTCAGGCTGAGGAAATGCTTCTTACACCTCCCTCCAAGACCCTAAAACCCAAAGGCCTCTTGACAGAATAGCTCACAACTTCCAACTCTTGCGTGTGAGTCCCCAGCTGGGATTTTCTCATTTACCGGAAGTTAGGGCAGTGATTCAGCATTAATTTAATAGTAAAACAAGCCAATGTCCCATTCACTGGCCACTTCCCTCTTTGTTAGCTGTGGCCTCACCTGCTGCACGAATAAGCCTACCTATAGCCCATCATCCATGGTCCCTCCCAAGTGACCAGAGCTGGGCGTGGCTTGCTCAAGTTCTTTCACTGGTGATGTGTTAGGGAGAACTCTTTTGGTGGGAAATGACAGAAACCCAGCTCAAACTAGCTTAAGGGTAAAGAACATTACCAGATCAGGTAACTAAAACATTAGGGCTGACTTCAGGTATGGCTAAATCAAGCTGTGCAAATTATATCATCAGGCCCAGACTCTCTATTAGTTCTGTTTTTCTGTGTGTATGTTTAATTTTCTGGCACTGGGTGGGGATTATTGGCAATATATTAGCCTCCTTTTATAGATAAGGGAACTGAGACTCAAAAAGATGAAGTTACTTGCTCAAACTCACAGCACTAGGGCAGCGGGGAGGACTCACACCCAAGTGAGTGTTCACAGAGTCCAAGCTCATAATTCTCACGTGATGAAGCCTCTCTGTGTTCTAGGCCTGCTTTCTTCCAATGCACTGGTGACTTTGAGGCAGCTACTCTGCTTCTCTTGACTTCATTTTCTCCCTTTGAAAAACAAGGGGGTTGCATGAGAAAGTCTCCAAATTCCCTTCCCATTCTGGTATTTCATGTGTCCAGACCAGCCCTGGTAAAAGAGGAGGTGACAGAGGCAGAGATCTTGAAAGACAGAGAGATGGGGATGAACAAAGGCAAGCAGTGAAATACAGAATAGGCCACGGGGTGCCTCGGTTTTTAATTCCACGTAGCTCCTAATAGCAATGTTGACCTTCTGTCTTCATCTCCAACCTTTAGCAGCCAATTTGGACTTCTGGCTCCCACTGTGAAGAGATGGCATAAAGGCAAACTAGTATTCTAATAGCTGCCAAATTGGTCCTGATTGTTTCTGTTATTAAATGAAGGGGAGGGTTGTGTTCACTGTTTCTCCTTGCTTTCCTCCAAAAGTAAAGTCACTAGATACATTGCAAGACAGGTAGCACAATTGTCATTTTCCCAGGCAGCCTCAGCAGGGCTTGCAGAAGCAGGTGGCCGCATGTTTACTCTCAGCCTGAATAATCAGGTATTTGGAAACATCCCTACAAGTCCCTGGCCTTGGCTCAGGGAGCATCAGAGAAGTTTTTCAAATCTCTGAAACCTGTTCAAGTCTCAGTGTGTGGGGACAGGCCTCTTCCAGGGAGCTGGAAAGTGAAAATCGGAGTTTTTCTGAGACTTTTCCTTCCCTGGTTGATCTAATTTCTCCACTTCATCCAGGGTCACCAGGGCCCCCATGTTAGCCCTGGGACACAGTGTGTGAAGTGCCAGAGCATAGATGCTGGAGTCCAGCCACCTGGGTCGAAATGCCAGCTCTTCTATACCACAGCCATGGGATGTCAGCAAATGGCTTCGACAGGCCATGCCTCTGTTTCTCCATCTTTATAAAATTCAAATAATGATCATGGTATTGGGGAGATGGAGCATCCTCACTGGCCACAGGAAGGCCCCACGCTGGGCGCATTCCAGGACATTTTCTCATTTCACCTTCATTTAGCAGGTGTTACCCCATTTCAGAAATGAATACAGCTGAGGTTTGAGAGTCGCTTTACCTTACTCAAGGCCCTACAGCTAGTGAACGACAGAGCTGAGATGGAACCTGGTTCCGTCTGACTTTAAGGCCTGTGTTCTTTTATTACTCCATAGTGACTGCATTTGAGAGGACCTGCAGGTTTACGCTCTCGAGGTGTGCAGATGAAAGAAAATCCTGCTGAATGTAAATAGAATTATCTTTTTGCATGGGTGAGGGTAGGTCCTTCCCCTACTTCCTAGGGTCAGCATTTTGCAAAGTGTGTTTATGTGCCACCAGGACATGGGGGATTCTTTTGGGTCCTTTATAAGTGGGCATGCTATGAAAGTTAGGTATTGATCTTATGTGTATCAACAAATTTATAAAATTAGCTGCTCCAACCATGACTTATGGATATTATGCTTCGAATAAGGCTACATTGAAAGAAAACAGTTGAAGCTATTTAAAGTTAGCTTAGAGGCCGGGCACAGTGGCTCACACCTGTAATCCCAGCATCCTGGGAGGCTGATGTAGGAGGATCGCTTAAGGCCAGGAGTTTGAGGCTTGCACCACTGCATTGCAGCCTGGGTGACAAAGCGAGATCATGTCTCTAAAAATAATAAAGTTGGCTTAGAGCAGAATATTAAGGGGCCTCTTGTATAGGATGCTACATAAAGCACATAGCATAGCAGTTAAGAATCCAGGCTCTGGAGCCAGACTGTCAAGATTCACGGGCCAACTCTAATACCCACTCACAGTGTGTGACCTTGGGTAAGTTACGTGAGTTACCTGTGTATCAGTTTTCTCATCTGTAAGATGGGAATGAGGATAATCATACCAATCCCATAGAGTTGTTGCAAGAATTAATATATGGAAAAGCCCTTGGGGACAGTTAGTTGCGCCTATTAAGTTGATGATGATCACAATGGTGGTGGTAGTAGTGGTGATAATGATGGTGTTGTTGATATGAGAAGAATCTTGATGATAATATACACATAATTAAGATGTTACAAAAATGTTCAATAACTCTTATGTTCAATAACTCTCATGTCCACTGGGGACATGGGAGATTCTTTTGGGCCCTTTATAAGTGGGCATGTGATGAAAGTTAGGTATTGACCTTATATGTATCGACAACAATTTATAAAATTAGCCACTCCAACCCATGATTTATGGGTATTATGCTTAAAGTAAGGCAAAGCATAGTAAGAGAAACAGCTATCATTTCAAATATAAGAAAGCCAGGCAGGTAGATTCCAGCCCCAGGTCAGAAGTGGTATAGAGAAGTTTCTCTCTCTTCTCTGGTCTGAACCCCATCTGCCAGAGGCAGCATTCTCCTATTGGAGGCCGGGATGGCATCTGAGCTGCCTCCCTAGCTCCCCTTTTCTGACATTGAACTAATCATCAGACCCAAACCTCCTTTGATGTATAAACAAGCAAATGTTTAAACAAAAGTTGGCAAATCAGTCGAGAGCCTGGCCAGGAACCTCCTCCAGGCAAATCCGCATTCGGGAAGGCCTTTGGTGCCAGCTTGCTTATTGAGAGAAGAGCTCTGTTTCTGGCTAACTTGTAGCTCCATGACTGATGCAAGGAGATCATTAATATCTCATCTCCAATAGGGAAAGCAGATTGCATTTCTCTTTTGCTTTCCTTAAACCCAACCGATGCGTTCATGACTGTTTGCATGTTCACTTTATTTAATCCAATTATAGCAGCCACGTCAAAATAAAGTCTGGCATTATGTAGGCACCCACACAAAACTGCACACACATACCTCCCTGGGCCTCAGCGTGTGTTTTTAGGTCATCTTTAGAACTTTTCTTCTTTCCAAACAATACACAAAGAAGTTAGACAAAAGACTAGAGGGGAAGTACATTCCCAGTGTCATCTCTGAAAGGTAGAGTATGATTTTTATTTTCTTCTTTGCATTTTTTTATGTTCCAAACCATCTATCAAGGCTATGCATTCCTTTTATAATCAGAAAAAAGGCAGTAAACAATGTTTTCAAAAATACATGAAATGTGGAAAACCAATTAGCCCTCAACAGACCTTTAGACGCTTGGCGATGCAAGCTGATTCAGTGACGTGAGCCCTGTGAAGAATGTGAGCCACCAAGCCCAGGTACTCCAGCCTCAGGATTCAGGCCACTGACTCTGCATTTCTACTTGAGCTTCTTTTTCTGCCCTCCTTGGGAAATATAAGAAAGCCAGGCAGGTAGATTCCAGCCCCAGGTCAGAAGTGGTATAGAGAAGTTTCTCTCTCTTCTCTGGCCTGAACCCCATCTGCCAGAGGCAGCATTCTCCTATTGGAGGCCGGGATGGCATCTGAGCTGCCTCCCTAGCTCCCCTTTTCTGACATTGAACTAATCATCATCCTTGAATGTCAAACCTAAGTCAGCTTTCTCCACACAGGGCAGCAATAATAACTGGTACATGTGCCACTGATTATCCTAAGCACCTTACAGATATTCACTCTTTCTACAACAACCCCATGACATAAATGCGATCATCATCGTGCCCATTTTCCAGATGGGGACACTGAGGCTAGAAAGATTAAATAACACACAGCTCATAGGTGGCGAGACAGACTTGAAGCCAAGCAGAGTGACTCCAAAGTTGGGGTTCTTTTTATTTTTCTTTTTGAGACAGAGTCTCGCTCCATCACCCAGGCTGGAGTGCAATCTCAGCTCACTCCAACCTCCACCTGCAAGGTACAAGCGATTCTCGTGTCTCAGTCTCCCAGGTAGCTGGGATTACAGGCATGTGCCACCATGCCTAGCTAATTTTTGTAGTTTCAGTAGAGATGGGGTTTCGCCATGTTGTCCAGGCTGGTCTCAAACTCTTGAGCTCAAGTGATCCGCCTGCCTCGGCCTCCCAAAGTGCTGGGATTACAGGCGTGAGCCACCACGCCCAGCCTGAAGTCAGGGTGCTTAACCACCATGCTGCACTGACTCCCTAAGGGTGCTGACTGCGGAGTTTCCCTCCATATCCAAGCCACGTGGACTTGTGGGTGGTATGTCCCTTCCACCAATCAGATCAAGTCGGCCCCTATGAAGTGAGGTTCTGAAGCTGAGGACTTCCCTGTAGCTTCCTTTGGCAGCCACAGGGCCCTTGCACTTTCAATTTTCTGTCACTCATAAAGGCCTTCCCCATAACTCCTTAGAGGACTGATTCCTTCTCTTTGAGCTTGCATGCCACCTGCTCCTCAGTGAAGCCTTCCCCAATGATCTCCACTAATTAAGTCCCTGTCTCTTTATTTTCTATCATTACCCCCATATTTGTTCCTATATAGCATGTAATTTTATATTTGTGTTTCATATTTCTCGATGTCTACTTACTTATTAGAACCTTGTGGCTAGAGTGTGGAATGCAGAGCCTGACACTAAGGCTTGATTCCCCTCATTGCCACTCACCAGCTGTGTGGGTCTTGGGAAATTTACTTAACCTTTCTGTGTCTCTGTTCCTTCATTTGTAAAATGAGCCCTCATGGGGTTGCAGTGAATTCTAAACAGAAGAATATATATTAAGTGCATAGAACAGAGCCTAGAATGTAGTATACGCTCAATAAATGGTAGCTGTTATTATTTACGCTTTTTGTCTTGCCTAGAAGAGAGAGAAGGGCGGGGTGATGTCCATTTTATTTAAAACCATTTTCTCAGTGCATAGAGCAGAGCCTGGAATATCGAAGGTGCTCTCTAGTGCTGCTAAAGGAATGAATTCCTCAAGCATTCTTGATCTTCCAGCTACTGTAGGATAGAGGAATAACAATTGACTCCAGCTCAGGCCCAGAAGGGGCACAGCCTACCGTGGGCCTGAGAGAAATGGCTAGCAGGGGCCCTGAGGAACTGCCAAACTTCAAAATCAGGGAGCTGAATCCTCGCGAGCTCATCCAGAGCTTGGACAGAATTAGAAGGATGGCCAGGACACTTGTCACCTTCATGCCACAATCATGGCTATTGCACAACTAAAACAAGGACTTCTGTCCTTGGTGCTGAAATATCATTGCTCTGCCAGACTAAAGGATTTCTTCTTAGCTGTGGAGGTGTCCTATGTACCTGTCTACCAAATCCCAGAAGAGAGAATAGGACAGATAGAAATTCACCCTGATAAAGGAAAAAAACATAAAGCATCGTAATGGACATTATGGAGCCCTTACTATGTGCTAAGCCCTCCCTGTATACAATCTCATTTGAATCATCACACCAGCTCTGTGAATTAGCTATTATGATCACCATTTCCCCTGTGAGAAACCAAAGTACCATATGATTAAAGTTGCCTAAGGTTAGTAGAAGACACAAGACTTGGGCCAAGTAATCTGATTCCAGGACTCAAAATCTTGCCACTGCATCCCAATAGAATAATATTTAGCTGTGACTTTGTGCCAGTAGAGAAAAATCTCAGGCAGCTAAACTGCCCTTTCCTGAGAGCCTAGGAAGAGATGTGTGAGCCTGTTCACATAGCTGACTGATTTCATGCATTGTGGGTCTATATGATTTATTCCATGACTTTATTTTTTAACTAAAATCCTTAGGTTGTACTTATGCTGAAGGAGTAATCTAGATTCAATGACAGATTACCAGACAGGAAAACAGAAAAGGGGGAGATTTTATTTTTTCTAGGCATTGTGACTTTGGATGTATCATTTGTACTTTCATTCTCAGGTTGTTTTTTTTTTAATTTGTAGCATTAGCTATATTAGCTGCTTGTGAAGATTCCTTCTTGCTCAGACATGCTGTAAACTTGAAGAGCAGAGTTATTCCTTCTAAAACTTACAGTGGGACAGCTTAATTCTGGAATAATTCCATACTTGATGAATATACCAAGATTGTAGCCAGTGAATTAACTGAATTGAGAAACTTCTTTGTTATCCACCTTTCTGACATTATTTCCAAAAGCCACAGATGTTTTTTTAACTGACTTCTTCTCCCATGGGGGAGAATCAGGACTTCTTCCCACCCTCTGTCTGATTTACTTTGATGCTCAGCTGAGTAGATTTGGTCCCTGGGATGTCCCAATAGGATCATATTTAGCTGTGACTTTTTCCTTAGTGTGCTAATAGGTAAAAATATCAGGAAGGTGAGCTGCCCCTTCCTCATAGCCTAGGAAGTAAAACTGAATGCAAATGATTTCATATTTGACCTCAGGTAGAAGACAGATATCTTCCAGAGGTCTGGCAGAAAGATTCTTCCAAAGCCAACAATAAGCCCTTCTCTTTTGATTCTCTCTCATTTCTGGGCATTGTCTTTTTCAAGCATTAGAAGATCACAGATCCGTTCTTTCTATCTTTTTGGTGGGACTATGGTGAATCAGGGCATCAAAGATGGCAGAGTAGTTAAGAGCTTGCATTGGATCCAGCTAGACCTGCATTTAAATTCAAGACTTCTGGCTGTGTGACCTTGGGAAAGTTACATAACTTTTCTGAGCTTCAATTTTCTTTTCTGTTAAATGTGTGTTAGAAGGATCCAATACCTAGTTAACGAAAGTCTGTGACTGCCTGATTGCCCAACAGGTGTGGCTGTTACCCTTCTTTTTATTCATTTTTTCAGTAAATATTTATTAAGCACCAGTTGTATGGTAGGCACTGATGTAAGCAGTAGGGATACAGCAGTGAACAAAAATAGGCAAAAATCTCTGCCATCTTGCAGCTTACATCTAGTGAGTGGAAATAGACAACAGACTAAATAAATATCTTGTATATTGTGTTAGAAAGTGAAAAGTCCTGTGGAGAAATACAAAGCATGAAAGGAGGATTGAGGATGCCAGGCATGGGGGAGGGATGTCATCCTTAGGTAAGAAGGGATTGATGGTTGAGTCGGTTCATTGCTTGGGTGAACAGCGCTTACTAAACACTTTGCAAGGCCCTGTGAGAAGCATCATCCATCACACTTTGCAGCTGATTCAGGAGGCTGTCAAGACACAGGTGTCATGGGGCTTATCTTACAGATGAGGAAACTGGCATTCAGAGAGGTTAAGCCAGCCCCACATCTCATAGCCTGTGAATGCAGAGGCAGGATTAGTACCTAGATCACCCAATGTCTGTTTGCTGTAGTGTCACCTGTTGCCCCAGTTGCCCCAGGTAACCTACTCAATGGGAAATGAAAAGGAAGAGCGTATCATTGGTCACCTTTTGTATATGGGGCTTATTGCTACAGATCTGTGCTTCACGCCTCAGGTGAGAGAGCCATGCGCCCCTTGTTGGTGAGCCATATTTTATAAAAAGTCACTCAGGTGTTCACTGACTTACCTTGCCTTCCAATTTTACCTTTTCAAGTTATGGTAAAGAAAGGGAAGAAAAAATGCAAATCCCTGCCCAAACAGCTGATGCCTCTCCCCTGGTAGATACCCTGTTGCTGGGCCTCTGCCACCATCTCCTAGTCCAAGACTTAAGTCCCCATTCACCCCTGTGACTCCAGAAACTTTTCTGAGACCTAGGGAATTGGTTGTCTCCATTTACTCTTAGTTAACCAAAGCATGCGTTTGCAGCATATCAGTTTTTGAATGTGATAAATACAGCAACCCATCTCCCAATCCCATGAATATTTCATTTTGGAGATGACTGCATAAATATTGTATTTGAATATTATGGTCCGGGACATCACATTAAAATTGCAAGACGATGCTATTATCCCATATAATGGAACATGAAATTAAAAACTGGAAAGAAAAATTTTGCTAGTCCTCTCACCTGTATTTCTTCTCTGTCTGTCTCTCATGGTTAGTCTGGTAACCATGTAAGTTTGAATACAAATTATCTAAAATTGAAAGTTTCAAGCATGGTTAAGTGCATCGACTGGACATTTTTGTATAATTAGCACTAGCCAGAGTCAAGGCAGGGTTTTATTTTCCTAAACTCAGGGGCTTCCTTTGATGACCCAGTTAGAGCTCAGTTACATTTCAGTGGGTTAATACTGTATTACAAAAAATCTTCGCTGAGTTCCTTCCCAGCAAGAACATGACTTTGCTAATGAGCTTGGATTATCTGTCTTCCATTGTCTGTCTGACCCCTATAGGGATTTAACTTCACAACCCAGACCTAGCCCAATTTTGTATTTTACCAAGGGGGAAACTGAGACACAGAGAGGACTGCTCTGTAGCAAGAACATGGCTTTGCTAATGAGCTCAGATTTTGCATGTGGAAAGATGTGTTAGAGAAAGAGCAAGACCCGTGACATAGGACAGCTGGGTCTTTTGATTGGTTCTACCCTTGTGTTGAGTCCTCTGTGTGTCCTTAGAAAAGTTGCCAGTCTTCTCTGGGCTCCCGTGTATCCATATGAGATGTATTGCTTGCCCCATGCCCTTTTCCTGAGTATAACAATGTGACTTATAGAATGTCAAAGCTGGAGAGTACCTTGGGAATTACCTAACCCAGGATTATTGTGACTGGACCGATGGCTTATGGGCTGGATTCATCCTAGAGAGATGTTTTATTCAACCAGAAATGCTTTTTTATTTTAAAGGAGTGGAAGTGCATTTCAGAATGTGTGTTCTTCACTTCTCTGCTAATTTCATCAGTCCTTGTTTTTTCGTATTCAGGCTGCTTCACACGCTTCCATTATCTGTCTGACCGCCCTGTAGGGATCTAACTTTACAACCCATATCTAGACCAACTTTGTATTTTACCAAGAAAGAAACTGAGACTCAGAGAGGACTCCTTAACATTTTGAAGTCACCCAGCTGGTGACAGGTAAAACCACACTGCCCCACAGATGAAAAGCACATTTCAGCCGAATTAAGTCTGTTCCCTGCCAGCGTTACCGTCATCGCCATTTCATTACACCATCATCCATTTTGTGATGACTTAGGTGTACTATGTCATTATCTTCCATAGTAGCCAATGTCTAGAGGTGGGTTTTCTGCTCATGCAGAAAAGAAATGCTAAGAATGTAGGTTTACTAATGAGGTTTCAAGTAATTCCCCTGAGTGAATGTCAGTGGATTTGTGGGAAGCCCGGTGAGAGGGAATTCTTTCTGGAATTCAGCGTGACTACCAGGGCAGGACCATCTTCAGCTTCCAAACCCTGAAGTCTCCTCATCACAGTAGACTTTTCTTGAGCAGCTGACCTGCACTGTCCTAGGACCTGGAAGGGAGGCACAAAGTCCAGAGCCAAAGTGTGTTGTAGTGAGAATAAAGGCTACCTGCGAGGAGACAGGTAACTCCAGTCTGAAGACAGAGTAACGAGGTCTGTTGCAGAAATGCAGACAGCTCTAGAACTCTGAGCAGACTGGCTCAGTGGAAGAGGAAGCATTTTTGTGCCACAGCCCTGGCTACCTGCCCTGTCTGGAGCCTAAGAACCTCCCCACACATCATGGTTGTGATTAAGTTGAAATCATTCAGGCATGTATTAGGACTTTTTCAAATGCAAGTGAGGAATCTCATCTCAAAAATGCCTTAAGCACATAACACACAAGTCTGGGAGAGGGTCAGGCACAGTGAGATCCAGAATCTCAAGTGAACCCATCAAGCGCTTGGCACTGTGTCTTTCTGTCTCCTATTTCCAGTTTGCTCCATTGTCAGACAACCTCTATATTCATGGTGATGAGATGGCTACCAGCAGCCCTAGGCTGACATCCTCCCTGCCAGAAATCTCATAGAAAAGCCCCTCCTTCTCACTAACTCCAGCAACAATCCAAGACCTAGTCTCAGACCCAGCTTGCATTGCTGGCCCATCCCTGAATTGATTATGGAGGCCAGACAGATGGGATGCTCTGATCCATCCTGGGTCATGTTCCCACCCCCTGGTGCTAGGGTGAGGATACAGACCCAAGTAAACTGAGATTTAAGGATGAGTCCAAAGTAAAGCAAAATGTGGTTCCCAGAAAAATCATAAATGGATGCTGAGCAGGCAAAAACAAGGCATGGAGCACCGATACCTGCTGCAGCATGGATGAACCTGGAAAACATTATGCGAAGCAAAAGATGCAGACACAAAAGGCCATATATTGTATGACTGCCTTTATATGAAATATCTAGAATTGGTAAATCCATAGAGGCAGAAGACAGACTGATGGTTATCAGGGGCTAGCATGAATGGGGAGTGGCTGTGTAATGTGTATGGGGTTTTCTTTTGGGGGCTGATGAAATGTTTTGAAGCCAGGCAGAGGTGACAGTTGGACAACATTGTTAATGAACTAATTCCACTAAACTGTACACCTTAAATGCTTAATTTTAAACCACTGCTGTTACAGCAGAGCCCCTGATCCCCCTCCAGTCTGCATGGAGCCTGCATGGAGTAGGCACTCGGTGCTGCCTGTAGCAATCCACACAGCGCCTTTGTGGAAAATAGAAAAGGCAGCTCTTCCTCGAGACACTTAGATCCCCTTCATCATAAAATCATTTCTTGGTCTCTTGTTATTTTACATTGTGTGGATGTTATCTTTATTAAAAATGTATGACCTTTTCAATCTGTGTCATCTGCCCAGAGCAATCTCCCAATTAAGCCAAACTGGTCTGCTCCCCAGATCTCTGATGAGTCTGTTTTCTGTCTAGAATGTCCATTTTTCTCTCCTCCCTGCACCCCTCCTAGTCTGACTCAAGCCCTGCCTCATCCATGACGCCATCCCTGACCACCAACCAAGTCCACAGCATGCTGGCTTTTCACCCTTGCCCTAGTCCCCATTTTTCCAGAAGTTCCTCGAAACTCATTTAACCTATGGTTATATGTGCCTGTATCATATTTGCCCAGTCAGACTATGAGTTCCTAGAAGATAAAGCCTGTCGTTTATAGTGTTTCCTGTCTTTCACTGTACCCACCACAAGGCTGGGGTTGTGGTAGGTGCTGGACATGTATTTGCCTATTGATGGATTCAGTATCTATCCATTCTGTGAATACTCGCTAAGCACTTACTGTGTGCCAGGCACAGAGTGATGAGCAAAAACAAGAACAACCCTAGCTCACATGAAGCTTGTAGTCTACTGGAAAGGGTAGACAGTAATCACAGAATCACAGAAATGTGCTATGGCAAGTTGCTGAGTTCATACACCTGTAAATATGGGTTAATAAAAGTACTGTCTCTGGGGTTTTCATGAGAATTAAAGTAGATAATCCATATAAAGCCCTTGTAATGATAATGCTCATATGTTTTCATTGCCATGGTGATGGTGGTAGTGATAATGGGGATGAAGATGGTGGTGATACTGAAATTGGTGACGATGATGGTGATGATGACGATGGTGGTGATGACAGTGGTGATAATGGAAATTGTGATGATGATGGTGATGATGACGATGGTGGTGATGACAGTGGTGATAATGGAAATTGTGATGATGATGGTGATGATGACGATGGTGGTGATGACAGTGGTGATAATGGAAATTGTGATGATGGTAATGGCAATGATGGTGGAAGAAATTACAGTGTTGTAAGACTGTAAGGACTGAGAGAGTAGCTTTTGGTCTGCAATCTGATCGATGAAGTGAAGTTCACTCAGGGAACACTGAAGGGGAGAGGAAGAAGACAATCATTCCCAGCACATACGGAGTCCATGACCAAAGGCACATGTGTAGGGAAACTGTGGTGGTGTGGAGAAGCATTCATACAATAGAGTTATTCATAAGGGCTTGAAAAATCCAGAGTCCTGGTCGTGTGTAAGGGCCAGCAGCCTGAAGGAGCAGAAAGGTCCCTGAGTTCAACTCTAGACTGTAAGCTCCCATCTAGATAACTAGCTCCTTAGGAGCAGAGCTCGTCCTTACTTCTCCTTGACCTGTACCATGGGCCAGCACAGTACCTGGCACGTAATACGTGAAAATGGTGATAGTGGTGCTGATAATGAAGATGGAGATGATGATGATGGTGGCAGTGACAGTGATGATAATGAAAATGGTGATGATGGTAATGGCAATGATGGTTATGTGTGCAATGAATGCTAATTGCTAATGGACTGAGCGTTTGGCCCAAAAGCCTTGGTTCTAGCTCTGTCCACCCTCCCAACATGCCCACGTCACCAGCTCTGGGACCTGAACAGCTTTGGTTTCTGCATCTACAAAATAGGAAATGCCAACTCTGCCCAGCCTGCCTTGCAAAATTCTAAACAAGATGATTATATGTATATAGTTACTACAGTAGGAGTTATTAATCTAGGGTTCATGGGAAAAATTCAGGGGAGGTTCGTGATTTTGGATGAGAAGAAAATGATATCTTTTTTAATGGAATTCTAACTGAAATCTAGCTAAAGGTAGGTAACAAATCACAGTAGTATTAGCAGTAACTAACTGACTCGGTCACCAGTAGGAATCATCTATTTTCCTGTCACATTATAGTTGGTGCAGATACCTCTAAATATCATTTATGCTCACCACTACTTCAAAATTTCAGGAGTTAGGCCAGGCGCAATGGCTTACACCTATAACCCCAGCACTCTGTGAGGCCAAGGTGGGTGGATCACCTGAGGTCAGGAGTTCAAGGCCAGCCTGGCCAACATGGTGAAACCCCATCTCTACTAAAAATACAAAAAAAAAAAAAATTAGCTGGGTGAGGTGGTGTGTGCCTGTAATCCCAGCTACTCAGGAGGCTGAGGCAGGAGAATCACTTGAACCCAGGAAGCGGAGGTTACTGTGAGCCAAGATCATGCCACTGCACTCCAGCCTGAGCTACCGAGTGAGACCCTGTCTCAAAAAAAAAAAAAAAAAAAATTACAGGATTTAATAGACCTGCCATGATATCTTGTTATTTAATGTATTAATAAAGAAACACACGTAGTACCATACATTCAGTGTTTTAAAATGTATTTTGTAATCCAGGCCCCATGCAGTAGCTCACACCTATAATCCCAGCACTTTGAGAGGCCAAGGTGGGAGGATTGCTTGAGGCCAGGAGTTTTACGCCAGCCTAAGCAACATCGTGAGACCCTGTCTCTACAAAAAAATTTAAGCAGCAGCCAGACATGGCGGTGCATGCCTGTAATCCCAGTGCTTTGGGAGCCTGAAGCCAGAAGTTCAAGACCAGTCTAGGCAACATAGTAAGATCCCATCTCTACAAAAATAATTTTAAAAATCAGCCAAACATGGTGATGCATGCCTGTAGTCCTAGCTACTCAGGAGCTGGAGGCAGGAGGGTCACAGGAGCCCAGGAGTTTGAGGCTGCGGGGAGCTAGGATCACACTAGTGCTCTCCAGCCTAGGCAACGGAACACGACCCTGTCTCAAAAAATAAAAATTTTAAAAATGTTGTAATCCTGTATATAATGTGTGAGTCAAGAAGCACAGGCATTACTTTATATCAGAACTTTGGTGGATTTTTATTTTTCGCTGTTTCATAACCCTGTATATTTTGTTGTATGCATTGAAGAGTACTATTCTGAGACAAGGGTCCATGGTCTGCATTCACTAAACTGCCAAGACCTCTATGGCATAAGGAGGTTGTTGCCAAAGTTCTCTAGAGAAGGAGTAGCTGTAGCAGATGATCACTGTCATCTGACTGTGCTGGGTAAGTCCCCTGGGCTCTCTAAGCCTCAGTGCCCTCATATGAAAGTTGGGGGTCAAATAGTACCTGCGTCATAGGGGTAAATACGGTGACATGCCTCACTTGTGGGGATCAAGTGATAAACTCCACGCAGAGCCCTGGAGCAGTACCTGGCACACAGCAGGCACTCAATAATTGCCATCATCGCTATGATTGTGTTGTTTTATTTGGACTCTGGCTGGAGTTCTGTCTTTCAGGACACCTCTGGGCTAAGGGCAGCTTTCTCCCTCCCAGGTTCATTCGGAAGCAGGGCCTGGATCGGCTCTTCCTGGAGTGCGACGCTCACATGTGGCGCCTGGGAGATCGGCGGATCCCAGAGGGCATTGCCGTGGATGGCGGTTCGGACTGGTTCCTGCTGAACCGGAGGTTTGTAGAATATGTGACCTTCTCCACAGACGATCTGGTGACCAAGATGAAACAGTTCTACTCCTACACCCTGCTTCCTGCTGAGGTGAGTATCTGGGAAAATTTTCCCAAGAAAGATAGGGGCTTGTTCTAGCCTTTGTGGCAAAGCAGATGCTGAATTTTTGGCAAAGAGATTCTGGGTCCACCTACATTGTCCTCTACACACCCAGACATCCTTGCTGTCTTAGCAGGATGCCTGGTCTCCCTCCAGTCTGCACAGAGGCTGCGTGGAGTAGACACACGGTGCTACCACCGGCAGTCCACACAGTGTCTTTGTGCAAAATAGAAAAGGCAGCTCTTCCTCAAGATACTTGGCTTTCATTGGTCATAAAAATCACATGATACACAGATTTTGTTAGAACAAGAACCTTATGGCTATTTTCCAGAAAACTGTTATTTAAAAAACCCTTCTGACATCCACAATGCTGATGGCACCCCTAAAAGGTATGTAGTGTGTAACCTGCACAACTGTATATGCTGACCCTTTCAGGACACACCCACATCAACTTTTTTTTTTTTTTTTTTTTTTTTTTTTTTTTTGAGACAGTCTTCCTCTGTCATCCAGGCTGGACTGCAGTGGCACAGTCTCTGCTCACTGCAACCTCTACCTCCAGAGTTCAAGCAATTCTGCTGCCTCAGCCTCCTGAGTAGCTGGGATTATAGGCGCCCACCACCACACCCAGCTAATTTTTGTATTTTTAGTAGAGATGGGGTTTTGCCATGTTGGCCAGGCTGGTCTTGAACTCCTGGCCTCAAGTGGTCCTCCTGCCTCAGCCTCTCAAAGTGCTGGGATTGCAGGCATGAGCCACCATGCCCGGCCGCCACATCAACTTTTGACGCATCCTTCACAATGACCAATCATGTAATGACCACCTTTTTACACCAAGCATGCCTTTTCTCATGTTGAACATTGCTCTATTATTCCCTGAAGAAAAGGGTGTTGGTTTCATAAGTCATACTCCATTAATCCAGAGTATTCTAAAACAGTCCTAGCCCCATCTAGAAGTGGGGAGGGGATCCAGTTCTGAAGGATTGTCACTGACATTCCCTTAGCTGCCTGCCGGTCAGAGCTGGGTTGAGGGATTCCAGATTCATCTTCCTGACCTCCAGGTTGATTGCACCCTCATTTCCAATCCAGCTTGAGAACAGTGCAGAGCTGGTTCCGTTTCTATTGAGTCTATGGCATTTCTCATGAACGGTCCCTTGTTCCTTCCCGGGACCACATAGGTTATGTGTGTTTCTGCAGGCCACACTCCCAGCACATCTCTCACCTGTGTCTGGGGCAGTGCCAAGCTCCGGGGAGGGCTGACTGCCCCCATCACCCAGAGGGATGATGAGCTTGTCATCACTGGGCCAGGTTTTACTATTCTGCACACATGTTAAGTAATCAGCTTTTAATCCTATTTCAGCAAAAATCAATCACCTCTTCTCTCAATTCTGATAACCTCCTCATCCATTATATTGCAGGGAATTTCTGTATCATTATGAAAGGACACAGGGCAATCAGTAATTGGGTACATCTTCCCACTGCTTGTTGGAGAATGTATGCCTCCCTGGGCTTGTAGGCAATTCAAGCTTAAAATCCAGGTTCATGGGCTTGTCATTTAGTGTCACAGGAAGGTCAGCAGGGGGTGGCGGCTGGAGCCTCATTTACCCACCCATCCATTTAGAAGAGATTGTTTGGGAGTTTGGCTATTTTTAATCAAGACGCCCACCACGATACTGGTGACCAAAGCTCCGTGTGTGTGCTTTCTCTGCCCCTCCCTGGCCCCAGCACACACAAGCACATATACTCCAGGGTCTCTGTTCAGTCCCACCTCCTGCATCTCTGCCTTCCCTCCCTTCTCCCAGACCACTTCAAGAGGACTGGTTTAGAAGAAATCAGAAGGCTGTGCCCATTAACTTGTAACGGGCAGACACAGATTCCCCAACAGCTTCCCTTAGGGAGAGAGAACAGGGAGGAAATATATTTGCCTGGGACTGTCTATTATAGAAATCTTTCTCTCACTCTCTGGCAGTCTCTCAAGTACTCCAGTGATTGATTGTTTCTCCTCTAGTTTTTCTTTTCAGATCCAACATGGCCTCTTTCTCAGATCCCTTAAAGCAGTTGGCCAAGAATCCTGGGATTAGGGAGAAAATATGGCACCTGGTTCAGTACCATGGACAGCAAGCAGCCCCACCCACTCCCTTCCCTATGTTGCCGTCTGGCGATGCAGGAAGCCCTGGGTCTAATGCAACCATCAATCTGGTCTCCCTACCCCAGGGGTGAAATTCCAGCACACCAGTCAGTCAGTCAGACTTGAATCCCTTTGATTTGTCTGTTGGACAGAGCATCCGCCTGCGCTCTGAGTTGGACCACATGGGCAGCTGACCTCAAATGCATGCAGAGAACATAAGAGTCCCTTGACAGTCAGGTAGTTGTGTTATACATTTTTGCATTGCTATGAAGGAAAATCTGAGGCTTGGTAATTTATAAAGAAAAGAGGTTTATTTGGCTTGCAGTTCTGCAAGCTGTACAGGAAGCCGCCCAGCTTCTGATGAGATGCCACATTCTTTTAAACAACCAGTTCTTACATGAACTCAGAGCAAGGGTTCACCATTTCCCACCCCAGTTCATCTGTGGGAGGCTGGGAGAGGTCTCAGGCTGGGTCCCTCTCTCCCCTGCAGTCCTTCTTCCATACGGTCCTGGAGAACAGCCCCCACTGCGACACCATGGTGGACAACAACCTGCGCATCACCAACTGGAATCGCAAGCTGGGCTGCAAGTGCCAGTACAAGCACATCGTGGACTGGTGCGGCTGCTCCCCCAATGACTTCAAGCCGCAGGACTTCCACCGCTTCCAGGTGAGACTTTCTCATGGTCTGCCAGCCTCCTAAGTGATGCCTTCCCAACAAACCTCTGCAGAAATCCAAGGCCAGACCTGCAGGTCATCTTATCACATGGTGCCCAAACCTGGCTGTTGATAATTAATAATAGTTAACAGTATCAACAATAGCCAGTGTTTATTGAGCACTTACTTCAGGGATGTTCTAACCACATTGACTCATTAACCCAAAAACAACAAATGACCTTTCATTATTATTCCATTTTAGGGATATGAAAACTGTGAGGCACAGAAAGGTTAAAAAAAACTTTCCAAAGGCCATACTCATATCATCTTCTCTTTATTCCCTTTTCATCAGAATCTCCCAAAATATTTGTTACATTTGTACCCAGGAATATGCTTTTAAGTATATATCTAGGGCTGAGCTTTTCAACCTCAGAACTCTTGCCATTGTGGCTGGATGATTCTCTGTTGGGACATGCTGTCCCATGCATGGGTAGGATGCTTAGCAGCACCTCTGGTTGAGAAACCCTCATCAGTGATATCGACGAATTTGTATTTTTAATGAATTGCACTTTTCTGAGGAGCAGCCAGGTTTGGAAACCACTGTGTTCTGTGGGAAAACACTGTGTTCTGTGTACTTGAAGGAGTAAGAAGAGGTAGAACATTATCCCCTTTACAGCTGTCTCTGGGCAGCCTAACAATTTACAGTTCTGGGGAAGGGCAGAGCAGGAGGGTGGGGAATGCTCATCCACTTACCATGAGCCCTGAGAGTGCTTGGCCCCAAGATGGGCACCCCTTCCTGCTCTGCTCCCTCCAAGCCAGCATGGTGGCTTCTTCCTCCAGCCCTCCCCACACCTAGCAGCAGAGAGCACAAATATGAGTGCCACTGAATGGTTAAGCGAATCACTCTGAGGTCACTAGAGCCACCGTGTAGAGACGGTATGCTACTTCCCAAACCACTAACACAGGAAGGCAGGGACACAATGCCAGGCTCATAACCCAGCCAAGGTGCCCTTGATGTGGAGCGGGATGCTGTTTGTTTGTGTTTGATCTCCTCTGTGCCGGGCTGTGTGGGCATTGGCTTTACTGGGGCAGACATCACTTTTATTGTTCAGGTAAGGAAACGAAGGCATGGAGGGGTGTTCCAAGTGGGGTTTTTTTCCAGCAGTCCCTGCTGCCTTCCTGGTTTTTGTGCCTGTATGAATGCAGAGTACACTGCAGGTTTTCTGTCGTTCGTATTCCCCTTAAGGTTCCCACACAGCAGCTCCAGCCACCTTAAGCTGGCAGACAGGGGGCTGCCT
The DNA here is from genome assembly GCF_000001405.40 of Homo sapiens. Lineage (NCBI taxonomy): Eukaryota > Metazoa > Chordata > Mammalia > Primates > Hominidae > Homo > Homo sapiens. The sequence continues at coordinate 138,330 of NW_019805500.1, read as the reverse complement.
AAACTCACATCTTCCCTGCAGAAAGGATATGCTGAGCCGAAAGAGGGTTGCAGGGGAATGTTTGTTTGACCTATTCAATGAATTCCCATGTTTGGAGAGGACCCGTCCCTCACTGCCCTAATCGCAGAGAATCTTCATCACTTAGAGCACAAAACCTCCACGTGCTGATTCCCAGAGCCCTGCACTCCCCCAGGCACAAGCATTTGTATCCTAGCCCGGCATCCTGGGGACATTGTAGCCTCTGACAAGGAGTGCCTCATGTGTTCACAGCAAGCAGAGATTAAGAATATCCCCCAAGATCTAGAGTCAAGACACTGCTGCCTGTAAGGAACTCAGAGTTCTTGCGCGAAGAACTTGGAGAGAAAGAATAATATGGTAACGTGCCCTGTTTGTTAGAAGATCCAGCTATGGTCGGAATCGCAGGCAGAGAAAGGAGTTTGTTCTGCCCCTAGATGGGTTCCTGGTAACAAGGGGCTGGTGATAATAATCAAAGAGCAGCCTACACTATGTGCTAGACACTATGCTAGTAACCCATTTTAAGGATGCTGAGGCCCAGAGAGTTTGAGTAACTTGACCTGCACAGCTAGACGGTAGCCAAATGAGGATTTGAATTCAGGTGGTCTAACTCTCTACAGTGCTAAGCTGTGCTCCCCACCACAGAGAGGTTTCCTGAAGCAGACTGGCAATGAGATGTTTAGAATAACACCAAGGGTACTTACGATCAGGGGGCTTCCCAGTTTACTCAGTTGCCTCAGTCCTGGAGTGATACAGTAGAAAGGGCTTGGATTTTGGAGTCATGCATTTGGGCTTCAAATCTTACAATGGTGTGAGTCTGTACATATCGCTTTGCCTCTCTGAGCTCAGTTTTCTCATCTGTAAAATGGGAATCATAATACCTGCCTTGCCAAGTTACAGGGAAAATTAGAGGTAATGACATAAGTCCATTGCCCTGCGTATTGTGTGTGGTCAGTAGTTGTTGCTGCTATTAATCTACCACCATGAAAACAGTGCTGGACCCAACTTTAGGTCAATAATAACACTAGACAATAATAAGCTCCTCAAGGGAGAGACCTGTGTTTTATTTGTCTCCGCAGCCCTACACAAGGGGTCAGCAAACTCTAGCCCTGGGGGCCAAAGTCAGCCCACTGCCTGCTTCTATAAATGAAGTTTAGTTGGAACACAGCCATACCTATTTATTTAGTCTCTTGTCTGTCTGTGGCTGCTTTTATGCTATAAAAGCGAAGCTGAAGGTTTCAAAGCTATTTTAAATATTTACTGTCTGGCCTTTTACTGAATATAAAGTATAACACCTGGTAGCTTACAGGTGCTTAGTATTTCTTTAACCCTGGACCCTGACTCTTCGTCCCATCTCTGATAGTGACTTGCTGTGTGTTCTCAGCTAAGTCCCTTACCATCTCTGGGCCTGTTGCCTTGAGAGTTTGGTTGCTATCAGTGGTCCTGAAACACTGAATCATAATCACCTGGGAATTTTTTTTTTTTTTTTTTGAGCTACACTCCAGAGCTATTGACTCAGTAGGTCCTTTTTCTCTGAGACAGAGTCTTGTTCTGTCACCCAGGCTGGAGTGCAGCGGCAGTCTCGGCTCACTGCAACCTCCACCTCCTAGGTTCAAGTGATTCTCCTGTCTCAGCCTCCTGAGCAGCTGGGACTACAGGTGTGTGCCTGGCCTGGAATCTGAATTTTTCAAAGTCCCAGAGATTCCGATCCCTTGTGAGTCTGCAAGTTGGCTGAAATACCAAAGAGGCAATAGGGCATGGTGGAGACTGCAGTGAGCAGAAGAACCTAGGTGCTGTCTAAAGGAACAGCCACCACCCTTCAGCTTTAACCAGTTGTTACCATGTGGAGTGTGGGCCTGGGGTTGCCAGATCTATTGCTGTTTAAAGAGAAGCCAAAAGAATTTCCGTGAACTCTTTCATGTTTTAAATATGGCTAGCTAAAATACATCTGCAGGCTGTATTTATTTGCCCTAGATTACTAGCCTGTGACCTGTACCTAAATGATGTCTGAGATCCATCCCAGCTATTACCATCTAAAATTATTTAGTTTATTTAACAGACATCTAAATGATGCTTACTAAGAAATGATGCTTACTAAGTGCCTATCATTGCTTTAGATGTTCTGCACAGATTAACTCACACCCTTATTATAACCCATTTTACAGATGTTGAAACTGAGAACACAGAGGTGCAAAAAGTATCGGAGCTAATTCGGGTCCAGCAGAGCTTTGCTTCTAACCACAGGATATGCCCTTAGGTTCCCCCCAACCCCCAGCACTCGCTGATGTGGCTTTTCTATTTTTAATCCCATGAGTACAGCAGACAGCCCGGCCTACCTTCTTTGCCCGCAAGTTTGAAGCCGTGGTGAATCAGGAAATCATTGGGCAGCTGGACTATTACCTGTACGGGAACTACCCTGCAGGTACCCCGGGCCTGCGCTCCTACTGGGAGAATGTCTACGATGAGCCTGACGGCATCCACAGCCTGAGCGACGTGACACTCACCTTGTACCACTCCTTTGCCCGCCTGGGTCTTCGACGGGCCGAGACGTCCCTGCACACGGATGGGGAGAACAGCTGCCGGTGAGCCCTATATGGGATGCAGAGAGGAGAGCTGAGAAGCAGGAGGGGAGGCTCAGGGTACAGAGTGGGGGTCCTTCTTCCTCTTTAGGGATCTGCAATGCAATGCCACCCTATGCTTTCTCTCTTCCTTTGCCCAAAACTCATCTAACGCCACCCTCCTAGCGTGCGTGGCATTTCCAATCCAAGCTGTGCTTTACTTTCTCAGATACCAGATATCCTATGTACCCAATGATTTTACTCATTCTTCATGCTACATATATATACTTTAGAAGGAAGCTTTTTGTCACCATATCATATGTAGCATTTGTCTTAAGTGGAAGGTACAAAACTTTTTTTGATGGAAAATGTCAAAGATGTACAACATAGAACAGTGGAACCCCATGTTCCCGTCACCCAGCCCCGGCAGTTTCCAACTCGGGGCTGATCTTGTTTCATTTTCATCTTCACCCACCTTCCGCCTCCTCCCGGATCAGTTTGAAGTCAATCCCAGACATCCTATCATTTCAGCCATCAATATTTTAATAATGTATCTCTGAAAAATAACTCTTTTAAAAACATTCACCATAATGTCATCACACCTAAAAATATCACAAAGAAAATTAATAGGCAGAACTATTGTTGAAACTTCTCAACCACCCCTTACAATTGTCTCATCTACCACTAACTGCCAACACTTCAGGAAAGAGTGTTCTAGAAGATGAGGGGGAGGTAGGAAAATAATTCAACATAATCCCTTCTCCTCTCATCTCTTTCCCTAAGCCAGTCAAGACTTTCACGTTGTGTACCCTTTCTTTTGTTCTGAAGCAATATGCATTTTGGATATTTACATAATTGCAACAAGAATTGGGTATCCTGTTTTCTTCCCTTGGCATTATACTATTAGCCCCCATTTCTCCACGCTGCTCAGTAGCTTCCGCAATGATAATGATTCCTTTTAATGCCTCTAGTATTCCATTGAGCAGAAGTTCCAGAGTTTGCTTAATCTGGCCCTTCACTGTTGCCATTGTCAGTAATGTACCCTTGTAAATAATGTTCTGATGAATATCTTTTCTCAGAAAGCCCTTTTTTTCCATTCTCTCTTTTGATTATTTCCTTAGGATAGATTCCCAGAAGTGCCTCTAATCACTCTCCTTCTTTTTCTTGTTCATTTAACAACATAGCATCTTTTTTTTTTAGCGTCAGTCTCTGACGGGGCTGGGGGGAAGAAGATTGTTCACTAACTCTCTGAAAACACAGGCAGGTTTCCCACCTGGTGTCTCATCCCTGGCCAGCAAGGTTTCCGCAGGGCTGTGACACTGTCCCATCACCTCCTCACATCCCTCGGCTTCTCTCTCCGTAAAGTTTCTGATTTAGTTTAAAGGGAGACTAGTGTGGGTTAGGAACCCAGGACCTGCAGTTTAAACTCTGCTTACAAGCTATTGACCTTGGGCAAGTCATTCATCTCTCTGAGCTTCGGTTTCCTCATCTGTGAAATGAGAAGAGTAATACTCATCATTTTTGTATCATAAGGTGTTGTGAAGTGTAAAGGAGATAATCATCAAAAACTACCTGATGAGTTAGTTATACAGTGCTCTTTTGAGACAGAGTCTTACTCTGTTGCCCAAGCTGGAGTGCAGTGATGTGATCTCTGCAACCTCCACCTCCCAGGTTCAAGCGATTCTTCTGCCTCAGCCTCCTGAGTAGCTGAGACTATAGGCATGTACCAGCACACCCAGCTAATTTTTGTATTTTTAGTAGAGACAGGATTTCACCAGGTTGGCCAGGCTGGTCTCGAACTCCTGACCTCAGGCAATCCTCCCGCTTCAGCCTCCCTAAGTGCTGAGATTACAGGCATGAGCCATTGCGCCCAGCCTTGTTATTCCCATTTTAACAGCATTTTATGTACTAACTGCTCAGGGTTCAGGTCATTGCTGGTATCTTAGTTGCCAGTTGCCATGTACTAACTGCTCAGGGTTCAGGTCATTGCTGGTATCTTAGTTGCCAGTTGCCATTATGATGCAGCCAACAGTGAACCTGCTGTGTGTGATGGTAACAATTCCTTGTTCTCTCCCTGTATTTTCTTTGCTCACTGCCTCCCACTGCACAGCCACCCCTTCTCAAGTCAACAAAGCCATCCAAGGACCACCTCCTCTATGACACTTATTAAGATAGCTCACCCCACACCCACCGTCTCCCAAGCTGAAAGTAGTTCAGGGACTTCACCTTCAGTATGTGCGGTATCTTGGCTCAAGGTCACCAGGGAGTCTCTCTCCCCCCCACTGCTAGTCTGGAAGCAGAATCCCTGCATGTATCCCCAGTAGACAGTGCAGTGCCTGCCACTTGGAAGGCAAATGTCGTTCCATAATAATTACAGTTGCAGGCTTCCTAGAATGTATAAGGTAAATGATCTTACAGGAAATTCCAAAAGACACCCCCAATTTATCTAGGGTTGTTGAAGGTTGCTCCCTAGTATTCATTTTGGAATGAAGTGAGCCGTCACGTTGCCTCGAGCCAGGAATCCTCTGGTATCCACCTCGTTTTTTATTGTAATGGAACTGTGGTGCCTTGCTGTGGGCAAAGCCAATGTATTTATGAATAGGAGCCTGAAAATAAATCAGGACAAAAGACCCTTATCCCAAAAGGCAGAAGAGAATGGATTCCTAGCCCCGGGGCATGTGGGGAAACAGCAAGTGAAAACTTTAACAGTCTCATTTTATCTGGGTATTTTAGGCAAATTGTGCCTTTCCAGTCTATAATATAACCTTTCATTAAATAATGTTTATTGATTTTTTTTTCTCATTATAAACTAACACATATGCATTGCAGAAGTTTCTGAAATGGCAGGTTGAGAGAATCAGAGTAAAGTTTGCATATAATCTACCATCCAGAAATAAGGATGTCAGCATTTTATTGCAGGTCCCCAAATGCCCTCCGGGGCAGGCACGAAGCACTAGAATCACTCAGTGTGCCCCCTGCAGGGTGGGCTGACCATGGGAACCTGGAGGTCCATGGAGCTGAACCCCAGTACATTCCGTGGGAATGCAGATGGAGTTGCCAACCAAATCTCCTAATTTTTTTTAGTGCTCATCGTATTTAAATAAGAAAGAAAAACAGCTTTGGGCCAAACGAATACTTCGGTTGCATTCCTGTAGATGATGATTGGTTGTGCGGCATCTTGATTATTTTTCTGTTTTGAGACATTAACAGTTTTCATTACTTAGATACCAAATACAGTCAGGATGAGGCATCAGAGGGCTTTTGTGCTCACTCCTTGGTTACAGGGACTGTAGATGTAACTTGAGGTTCAAGAGAAAATCCTTCTAGAATTTTCACTCCTTCAATAAGTACTGATTGAGTAGCTATCGTGTGTCAGCCTGTGTGTTAGGCACGGAGAATTCAGCCTTGATCCAGGCGGACCAGGCCTGTGAACTCAAAGCCCTCCCATTCTAGTGTGCAGACAGACAGTACCTAAGCACAAGTAAACCAGAATATAAGATCAATAAGGGTAAATGCTGTGCAAAAAATGAAGATAAAGTCATGTGAGAGTGACAAGTCAGAGGCAGCAATGAGGAAGGAAGTGGTGGATTAGGGTAGCAGGAAACAAAAGGGGGCTAGAGAAAGCGGTAGGGCTTTGTGGACCAGGTAAGGAGTTTGGATTTTACTGAAAGCATGAAGCAAAGTGCTTGTGGCATTTAAGTGAGGGACGATGGACGTGGCTACTATGGGAACAGGTTATAGTGGGCAAAAGTAAGAGAGGGTGACAATTAAGGAAGCTCCTGCAGAGGCCCAGGTATAAAAGGATGGTGGCTTTGACCGGGATTCTGGCAGTGTGTAAGGAGAATAGAGGATGGAAGGGGCCAGGTGTGATGGCTGACACCTGTAATCCCAGCTACTCGGGAGGCTGAGTCAGGGAGAACTGCTTGAACCCGGGAGGCAGAGGTTGCAGTGAGCCAGTTTCACGACACTGCACTCTAGCCTGGGTGACAGAGACTCCATCTCAAAAAATATAAAGAAGGTGAAGGGAGGCAAGTAATCAAAGATTGACTTCTAAATTTTTTGGACTGCTGCTTTCTGGAAACACTCTCTTCCTTTGACTCCCGTAACAGCAAATTCTCCTGCTTTACCCACCTCACAGAACACACACTGGCAGTGCTTTGTCTATTGTCACGATAACACTGTGAAACAAACAACTCCCAAATCAGTGTTTTGAAACAATATGCATTCATGTAATGCTCAAGTTCGCAGATCAGCTGGACAGTTTTCCCAGTATGGGCAGGCCTTGCTCCCCTATCTGCAGCCAACTGCAAGTCGGGAGGTGGCTCTGTGGTCCTTGGCTGGGAATAGTTGCCTGAGCCTAGGATGGCTTCAGCTGGGACAACTGGCGTAGCTCTGCTGTTTCAAATGTCTCCTTCTCCAGCAAGCTAGCCCAGGCATGCTCTCATGGTGACCTCAAAAGAGCAAGAAAGCAAACAGAAATGTGCAAGGCATCTTGAGGCCCTGGCTCAGAACTGACGTGACAGCCCTTCTACCACTTTCTGTTGTCCAAAGAAGATTCCAGAGGTAGAAAAATAGGTTCTGCCTCCCGGGTACAAGGAAACTTGCAAAGTCACATGGAAGAAAGCATAAGATAAAGGAGATGGGAGATTTGGGACATTAATGCAGGTGACCACTGGCTCTTTCATGACTATCTTTGCTGTCCAATACGGTAGCCACAAGTGGCTACTTCAGTGTAAATTAACTAAAACTAAATACAATTTAAAATTCAGTTCCTCAGTCACATTGGCCATATTTCAAGGGCTGAACAGTCACACTTTGCTAGTGGGTTGGGAGACAGCTTTCCCAAAGTCTCACAAATCATCACTAAAGAACTTACTCATGCAACCAAACACCACCTGTTCCCCAAAATCCTATGGAAATAAAAAGCTTTTGGCCTGGCGCAGTGGCTGACACCTGTAATCCCAGCACTTTGGGAGGCCGAGGCGGGCGGATCACTTGAGGTCAGGAGTGAGTTTGAGACCAGCCTGGCCAACATGGTGAAACCCCGTCTCTACTAAAAATACAAAAATTAGCCGGGCATGGTGGCTGATGCCTGTAATCCCAGCTACTCAGGAGGCTGAGTCAGGAGAATCGCTTGAACCCAGGAGGCGGAGGTTGCAGTGAGCCAAGATCATGCCACTGCACTCCAGCCTGGGCAACAGAGTGAGACTCTGCCTCAAAAATAAATAAATAAAATATTTCTGTCATCGCAGGAGGTTTTATGTGATAGCCCTGCCTAGATGTTGCTGCAGTGGTAGAATGACAGCACAGTCGCTGGACTTTCCACTCCCAAAGTCCAGATTTAAAACAGGTTTGCATGAACGGTGAATGCCCAACAAACCATCTGAAGACTGTTCAAGTTTTTTTTTTTTTTTTTTTTTTTTTCTATGCTCCCTGGAAGGCATCCCAGTAACAAGGCAATGATTTCAGGAGATGTGTGAACACAGGAAGGCAGCTTCCCTAACTGTTATAATTGGACATAAAGACTTAAAACTCCAGATCAGGACCAGAGGGAAGGCTGCGTTTAGCTGAGCAGGGACAATGATTTGTGAAATGCTATTATGAAGGACCCACAAGCGCCTTATAAAGCTGTGCAATTTACACATTGCAGAAGCGGCAGCTATTTATCTGACAAGTAGGAAATATACCAAACTGGTCTCCTCCGAGGTACTCCTTTTTTGCCATCTGCTTCCCCCTTTTCTCCGGACATCTCTGCTTCACTTCCCTGCCCTTTTCAGCCAGCAAGTTTTTGTGGATCAAAGACGTGCATTTTAAAACAACAAACCACTTTTGCATGTATGTGCATGTGTGTTTATCTCAGATTGGCAATCATGGTTAAAGATGATAACCAGTGTAAGTGGTAAGGACTGTGAGAGAATAAATCAGTACTTCTGAAACAGTTAAGCTGCAGACACGAAGAGCCTCAGACATTTAAACAGAGAGAGAGACGAATGAAAGGTTTTGCTCAAAGATGTTGAATGCAGCATTGTTTAGAGAAGCAAAAAATTAGAGTTATCATCCAATGCTAGAGAACTTGCTCTATCAAATCTGGTATTAACTATGATGAAACACACCGAGCATCAACACATACAAAATCGTGTCTTCAGAGACTTTTCAAAGATGTGATAATCCTCAGGAAATACTATACAATGAAGACAGAATAATAGCTAGGATAGATAGATGCCAACTATGTAGTATTTATGCAAATAGTATTTATGCAAATAGATGCATAGGAAATAAGGCCGAAGGGAAATCCATCAATATGAGTGTTCACACACCATTTTCACTGCCCGGTACCAAGCACCAGAGGACTCAATATCTGTGAATGGACATTATGTATGGGAAGAGGCATGGAAAGTAGTCATTTCACTTTCTTTGTTGTACTTTCCTACAGTCAGCATGTTTTTCATTCATAATCAGCAGAAGAAAAAAGTATTCATAGTCATTGAGATCATAGATACAGAGGACGCAAGGAAAACAGTAGGCATTGTGCACAATGGGGACTGCTTTAGGAACAAAACTAGCTTGGTGGGTGGGGAGCCTCACTGTGATCCTACACACCTTGGGCCCTAATGCATGAGCGCCTGTGTTTTCAGATACTACCCAATGGGCCACCCAGCATCTGTGCACCTCTACTTCCTTGCTGACCGCTTCCAGGGCTTTCTGATCAAGCATCATGCTACCAATCTGGCTGTGAGCAAACTAGAGACTCTGGAGACCTGGGTGATGCCGAAAAAAGTCTTCAAGATCGCAAGCCCACCCAGTGACTTTGGGAGGCTTCAGTTTTCCGAGGTAAGAGGCCAGGTCTTGTCACATTTCATTGTATTTTGCATTTCCCTCGGCCAGATTCTACTCCACTATCTGACACTTCTAGTTGGAGATGGAGGAGAAGAGGACTTGGAGATCCCTAAAGATAAGCTAACCCTGTGCCCGAAGAAGGTTCTCCGGCCCCAGTCACTGGCACCAGCATCTTAAACAGGGGAGGATCAAACCAACTGGAACACAGTTGTATTTTTTAGGGTAGAATTTCTGCTCCTCTGAATTTTTCCAGTGATGACTCCTAAACCAATGTCAGTAATATTAGTCCCATTTTACCGAATGGAGAACTGAGGCTTATAGAGATCCAAAGATTTTCTGGATTGCTAGGAAGTGGGAGAGCTCAAAATTCAACCTAGGTCTCTTTGGCCACAAATCCTATGCTTAGTTGTGGTTTTGTCTCCACAGTTTTTAGCACACCTGGATTCGCTCAAGGGAAGTACCAGATCAATCACTGAATATATGATTAGATGAGTAGATGAATGATGGATTGAAGGAAGGATGGATGGACAGATGGGTCACATAGCTAGCTTTGTTTTTGATCATTCTGATCTAAATCCAAATGATACACCTTCAGAGAAACCTTCCCCGGCACCCACTTAAGCTGCTGCAATAGCTACATTCTCCATCCAACCCTTCCCTATTTTAATACTTTTTCTTAGCATTTACTATCTAAAATTATCTTGTTGCTTTATCTGGTCACTCATTGATTGTTCACAAGAGAGCTGGAACTGTGTCTCCCTCTTCACTGTGGTATCCCCAGCACACAGACAGTATGTAGTCTTTGTAGATGCTGAGTAAGACTTTTGAATGAATGAATGAGTGTACTTGGGTCGTGGTGCAGGAAGGAAGGGGAAGCATGATCAAGCCTGGTGCGTGTTATTCACACAAAACTGCAGCACCTGGTTTCTGCCTTCCTCACATCCCTAAGTGCTAAGGACGTGATTTGTCACAATGGTTCTGACTGCTGGATTAGGGACCAAGAGTCTGATTGTAGACTATGGTACATCTTGAGGGGCTAAGAGTATGTTGGGGAGAGGGGGAGTCCCACCCTCTTATATTTTCCTTGACAGTCCTTCTCTAGCTTCTGTGGCCCTGCCTAACGAATGTATGTATCCCCATGACAAACAGGCACCAGTGAGAGTTTCTTGTTAAGCCACTGTTTTCAATTAAGACTCCCAGTGGATTTGCTGGATGTGAGCAGCCAAGGGAGCCCATTCCATAAATTACTGGCATCAGGGGGCAATTAGATACTGCCCCAGTTCGATTCTGTGCTAGGGGCCTGAGCAGCCAATTGACAACATTAATGTCCCATTAAAGAGATGAATGCCTGGTGTCTGGGCTCTCCCTGTTTATCAGCCTGCTGTTGGGTGACTGGGTACTTCTGGCAGTGACAAATGATGTTGGCCGCTCCATGGCTAGTGCTTTTGGGGGATGGTCCTCACTACACAGGTCTGGTACCCTTGGAGTGAGAACCATCAAAATCACTGGCAAAAATAACAGCATGTGATGCAGAGAGCCCTAACTTGTATTTTGAATTTTTTCTAAACTCTTAATTTTAGTAGCAAATGAACAGAAAGGCAAGGAAGAACTACAGGACCACTCTGTGGGCTATTTAGGATCTCCTTGGTGTTAGCACTATCCCAGGGCCTTGTACAGTGCCTGGCTCACAGCAGGTGGCTGAACAGCTCAGATACATTTCTCCAATACATGGGAATCTCATGCTGTTGACTTGGAAATAAAAGATGCTCATTCTTTCTGCAGGTAGTCACCAAGTGCCTACAGTGTGCCAGGTTCAGGAGGGATTGTGGTGAACCAAACAAACCAGGCCCCTGTGGTCATGGAATTGCATTCCAATGAGACAGCCAGCCAGTGAGTGAGCAAATAGATAAACAAAAACAAACAGCTCAGCTAATGACAGGTATTCTAGAGAAAACTTCATTCATGTGATTGCTGGGGACTCAGGACATTGATGGGGACAACCTTCAATAGAATGATTGATTCATCTAGGAAGGCTTTTCTAAGGAGATCACTGCAAAGCTAAAGCCTGTAAAAGAGCCAGTCCTCGGGAGATCTGGAGCATTCCAAGCAGAGAGAAGAGCATATACAAAGGCCCTTAGGCACTGGGAATGAGCTAGGAGTACTCGAGTTGCAGGGAGACCAATGTACTGGGTGCAGCAAGTGAGAAGGAAACTGGTAGGAAAGAGGCCTCAGGGAGTAGTCTTGCAGGCCCGGGAAAGATGTTCAGGTTGCATTTTAAATGCAATGGAAAGATAGAGGGAAAATGGCGGATAGGAGGCAAGACAAACTTGCAGCTTCCACTCGGATGGACAGAGCAGTGTATGGAGCCCCACATCATGAACTTTTGCTCCAAGAACTACTGCAGAAACATGCCAGGAAAGCCAAGAGAATCCATAGAGCCTTTGAAGGAGGTGGATTGCCCCTGCAGGCACTGTGGGACAGCCAAGGAATTGTGAATTGGCTTGCTTTAACATCCCCAAAAGATCACACTAGCTCACCAGCAATGGATTCAAATCAAGAAGAAATCTCTGAATTACCAGAAAAACAATTAAGAAGTTCGACTATTAAGCCAATTAAGGAGGCACCAGAGAAAGGTGAAGTCCAACTTAAAAAAAAAGATATAGGATACGAATGGAAAAATCTCCAGTGAAATATAGCCTAAATAGAACACAATCACAACTTCTGAAAATGAAGGACACACTTACAAAATTGCAAAATGCACTGGAAAGTCTCAGCAATCGAATCAAACGAGTAAAAGAAAGAACTTCAGAACTTGAAGACAAGGCTTTCAAATTAACTCACTCCAACAAACACAAAAAAGAATTTTTAAAAAATGAACAAAGCCTTCACGAAGTTTGGGAGTATGTTAAACAACCAAACTTAAGAATAATTGGCGTTCCTGAGGAAGAAGAGAAATCTAAAAGTTTGAATAATGGAATAATTGAGGAAAACTTCCCCAGCCTTGCTAGAGATCTAGACATCTAAATACAAGAAGTTCAAAGAACACCTGGGAAATTCATTGCAAAAAGATCATGCCTAGGCACATAGTCATCAAGTTATCTAAAGTCAAGACAAAGGAAATAACCTTAAGAGGCAAAAGCATCAGGTAACCTATAAAGGAAAACCCATCAGATTAACAGCAGATTTCTCACAGCAGAAACACTACAAGCCAGAAGGGTCCTGTCTTTAGCCTCCTTAAACAAAACAGTTACCAGCCACGCATCGTGTATCCAGTGAAACTAAGCTTCATAAATGAAAGATACAGTTTTTTCAGAAAAATGCTAAGATAATTCACCACTACCAAGCCAGCACTACAAGAACTGCTAAAAGGAGCTGTAAATCTTGAAACAAATCCTCAAAATAAACCAAAATAGAATCTCTTTAAAGCATAAATCTCACAGGTCCTGCAAAACAACACAATGAAACAAACCAAGGTATTCAGGCAACAAATAGTATGATGAATAGAATAGTACCTCACATCTCAATACTAATGTTGAATGTAAATGGCCTAAAAGCTTCACTTAAAAGATACAGAACGGATAAGAATTCACCAACCAAGTGTCTGCTGTCTTCAAGAGACTTGCCTGGCACCTGAGGACTCACATGAACTTAAGGTAAAAAGGTGAAAAAAGATACTCCATGCAAATGGACACCAAAAGTGAGCAGGAGTAGCAATTCTTACCAGACAAAACAAAACTTTAAAGCAACAGCAATTAAAAAAGACAAAGAGGGACATTATATAATGATAAAAGGACTAGTCCAACAGGAAAACACCACAATCTAAATATACATGCACTAACACTGGGGCTCCCAAAACAATACTACTAGACCTAAGAAATGAGATGGACAGCAACACAGTAATATTGGCACAGTTCATCAAGACAGAAAGTCAATAAAGAAACAATGGACTTATGCTATACCCTACAACAAATGGACTTAACAGGTACTTACAGAACATTTTACCCAACGACTGCAGAATATACATGCTGTTCATCAGCACATGGAACATTCTCCAAGATAGACCATATGATAGGCCACAAAACAAGTCTCAACAATTTTAAGAAAATCAAAATTACAGCACATACTCTCTCAGACCACAGTGGAATAAAATTGGAAATTAACTCCAAAAGGAACCCCCAAATTCATGCAAATACATGGAAACTAAATAACTTGCTCCTGAATTCAACACTTCTGGGATACAGCAAAGCCAGTGCTAAGTGCAAAGTTCATAGCATTAAATGCCCACATCAAAAAGTCTGAAAGAGCCCAAATAGACAATCTAAGGTCACACCTTAATGAGCTAGAGAAACAAGAACAAACCCAAACCCACCAAGGAGAGGTGAAAGACCTCTACAAGGAAAACTGCAAAACACTGCTGCAAGAAGTCATAGATGACACAAGCAAATGTCATGCTCATGGATGGGTAGAATCAATATTGTGACCATGACCATACTGCCAAAAGCAATCTACAAATTCAATGCAATTCCCATCAGAATACCACCATCATTCTTCACAGAACTAGAAAAAGCAATCCTAAAATTCATATGGAACTAAAAAAGAGCCTGCATAGCCAAAACAAGACTAAGCAAAAAGAACAAATCTGGAGGCATTGCATTACCCAACCTTAAAGCATACTATAAGGCCATAGTCACCAGAACAGCATGGTACTGGTATAAAAAAAGGCATATAGAACAGTGGAACAGAATAGAGAACCCAGAAATAAAGCCAAATACTTACTGATCTTCAACACGGCACACAAAAACAAAGTGGGAAAAGAACACCCTATTCAACAAATGGTGCAGAAATAATTGGCAAGCCACGTGTAGAAGAATGGAACCGAATCCTCATCTCTCACCTTATACAATAATCAACTGAGGATGGATCAAAGACTTAAATCTAAGACATGAAACCATACAAATTCTAGAAGATAAAATTGGAAAAACCCTTCTAGACACTGGCTTAGGCAAAGACTTAATGACCAAGAACCCAAAAGCAAATGCAACAAAAACAAAGATAAGTAGATAGGACTTAATTTTAAAAGTTTCTGCAAGGCAAAAGAAATAATCAGCAGAGTAAACAGACAACCCAGAGAGTGGGAGAAAATCTTTGCAATCTGTAGATCCAACAAAGGACTAATATCTAGAATCTACAAGGAACTCAAATCAGCAAGAAAAAACAATCCCATCAAAAAGTGGGCTAAGGCCATGAATAGACCGTTCTCAAAAGAAGATATACAAATGGCCAACGAACATATGAAAAAATGCTCAACATCACTAACGATCAGGAAAATGCAAATCAAAACCACAATGCAATACCACCTTACTCCTGCAAGAATGGCCATAACCAAAAAATAACAGATGTTGGCATGGATGTGGTGAAAAGGGAACGCTTTTATGCTGTTGGTGGGACTGTAAACTAGGACAACCACTATGGAAAACAATGTGGAGATTCCTTAAAGAACTACAAGTAGTTCTACCATTTGATCCAGCAATTCCACTGTGGGCTATCTACCAGAGAAAAGTAAGTCATTATACAAAAAAGATTCTTGCACACGCATGTTTATAGCAGCACAATTCACAATTGCAAAAAAAATGGAAGCAGCCCATCAATCAGTGAATAAATTGTGTGTGTGTGTGTGTGCGCATATATATATATATACCCCATGGAATACTACTCAGCCATAAAAAGGAACGAAACAATGGTATTTGCAGCAACCTGGATGGAATTGGAGACCATTATTCTAAATGAAGTAATTCAGGAATGGAAAAGCAAACGTTGTATGTTCTCACTCATAAGAGGGAGCTAAGCTATGAGGAAATCAAGGCTTAAGAATGATACAGTGAGTTTGGGGACTCATGGGCAAGGGTTGGGGGATATAGGGGAGGGGATATAGGGGATAAAAGACTACACATGGGGTGCAGTGTATACTGTTCAAGTGATGGGTGCACCAAAATCTCAGAAGTCACCACTAAAGAACTTATTCATGTAAGCAAACACCACCTGTTCCCCAAAAACCTATTGAAATATATACATATACATACACATTATAAACTCAAAAAATAAATAAATAAACGCAATGGAAAGCCATTGGTTGGTTGGAAGCCAGGGAGCAGTATGTTAAGCTTGAATTTGAATATGTATTTGAATTTGGGTAATTGACCATTCTGCAGTGGATGGTGGTGGACTTCCACAATGAGGCCCCTTGAGAAGGTCTTGGAGGATGTGACAGCAGCAGGGCCCTAGCTCAGGCTGCCCCACACCTCACCCTTCACGCTCCTCGGTTGAAAAACAAGATCCAGGTTGTTTGTCAGCTGCTCCAGAACTCTCCTGCCCAGGTTATCTTGGTTTTAAAACTCGATTTCAGGGAAGTGTTTATCCTCATTTCTTTGGAGGATCCAAGGGCAGTGTTCTGGAGGGTTCCCATCTTCCCCTAACTGGTGAAAAATCACCTCCTTAAATATGACCCTAAAGTAGTTTTGTGGCCATTCATCTGTTTTGTTAGTATCTGTTGGAAACTAGTGCATGGAGGGAAGTCCATGTGTTCAGCCCCTACTCATTCAATATGTGTTCAAGATAGATTGATAGACAGGTGATACATAGATTGATTAACAGACAGACAGATGGGTGGATACGTTAATAGGCAAACAGATGGATAGATGATTAATGGTTACAATAGAGTTGACAGATTAATGTGACAGATTGGTAGAGATAGATGATAAACACACATAAGTAGATGATCAATCTGTATAGATCATTGATCGATCAATAGACAATAGGTGCTCAATATATCTTTATTTTTAGATCTCTATAGAGATATATTGAGCACCTACTCTATGTTCAGCACTGTTTCAGACACTAGAGACATATTGGTGAGCATGCCATATATAGTCCCTGCCCTCTTGGAGTTGACGGTCTAGATCTGGAGAGAGAGAGACCTGTAAATTAAAAGATGCAGTACTGTGGGGGTCAGGAGAAAAGCTATGATGATCAAATGCTTAGATATGTACCTCAGTGGTGCCTCTATCCAGGAAAGACTTATGAGTAGAGGTGATGCCTGAGCCAAAATCTAGATTACAAGTTTGAGGTGGCCTGGAGGATGCGGGGAAAGGTAGACCGGTCCAGAGAACAGGCGGATCATGGCCAGAAGATCAAGAGGAAACACAGAGCCCTTCCGGATGAGGTGCTGGGAAT
The DNA here is from genome assembly GCF_000001405.40 of Homo sapiens. Lineage (NCBI taxonomy): Eukaryota > Metazoa > Chordata > Mammalia > Primates > Hominidae > Homo > Homo sapiens. The sequence goes on along the minus strand of NW_019805500.1, from coordinate 121,690 downwards.
AACCCAGGGTGGCCTGGAGCAAGGAGCAAGTGGAAGGGAGGGAGAGGGATAGAGATGACAGAAGTGAAGCCGGAGCCAGACCAGAAAGGTCTCCAGGACAGGTAAAGCAACTGGACTTAGAAACCAAGAGTTGCTGAAAGGGGTTGTAAGCAGGAAAATAGAAATCGGGTTTCTTTAGAAAAACCTCTAAGACCTTGAAGCTTGAACTGAATCCTGTTGATCATTCATTTATTCCTTCAATAAATAGTATCCTTTTAATTCCTACTGTGTTCCGGGCACTATGCTAGGCACTGGAGGGTCCCAGAAGGTGCTGGTCCCTGCTGATCCACAGGGTAGTAGAAAAATACCAAGATTTCATAAGTCTGGGAGGGATGGCAGCCCCCACAGGAACATCAGAGCAGTAACTACCTCTGTTACTCTCAGGATGCTTTCTTAGTCCTAATCTTTAGTCTCTGGCCTGATGAAAACTGAAAGCAAGACACATGCCAGTGAGTGTACACAGATGGCAGCCACCCCTGGTAGGCAGTAGGGATTTGGTTTATGTGTGTTGGGTGAATGAATGACTGAGAGAGTGAATGAATTCATGAATGGAAGGCAATATGTAGCACAGTGGATGAGAATGCAGCCTCTGGGGCTGGACTTTATGGGTTCCCATGCTGGCTCTGCCCCCTCTGACCATAGCGAGTTATCTCACTTCTCTGAGACTCAGTTTCCACATCTGTAAAGTAAAGATAATGACAAGGGTCTCCCCTTTATGGATTTGGGAGTATCAACTGAATGGACACGTCTGCCTGGCACACTGTAATCCCTCAGCAAATATTAGCAGTGAAGCTCTGTAAGCTGGGTAAAGAATGGACTGACATAGTACCTCTTGCAAGAACAATGAGAAGCTAGATCAGCTCCTATTTCCCCTGCACATAGGAAATCTCAGAATGTGGGTATGTGTATCCACACCCGACCTTCGTGCACACACACATTAGAGATGCTAATTATGGGAAGACAGCAGAGGCAGTGCAAGCTTCATACTGTACCCGTTATTTGCCCCAACATGCCCACATGCTGTGTCCTCAAAACCACTAAGTTAATCCACCTGGGGGAGATCTTTTTTTCAAATTAGATGACCCCTAATTTAATTTGATTTGAAATAGCAACAAAGGTCCTTGTCAGGAATCTCCCTAGTTCATTCAGTTTTTGGTCAAGCCATTCACCCATTCATTCAACAAACATTACTCGAGCACCTGCTGTGTACTAAGCATGGTAGTAGGCACCAAGAAAGAGCAGGGAACCAGCCAGGTAAAACCCCTGTTCACACAGAGCTTATATTACAGCTGGAGGAGATAAAGAATAAATACATCAACAGACAACTCTGAGATAGTGCTTATCACCACTGATAGGAAGAAAATAAAGCAGTAGGGAATGACACAGATTGACTGAAGGTCCATTTGAAATTTGGGGTGGGGGGTGGTCAGATAAAGACTCTGTGAGGCAGCTTTAGACATAAGGGGCTGGCTGTGCAAGAAAGGAGTATTCCACACAGGGCAGATGGTGCAGGAAAGCTGAGCTGGGAATGAGCCTGCCTTGATTGAGGTGGCTAAAACAAGGCATCCTGGAGAAAGATGGGGAGGGGGTCATGGAGATGGAGGATGGGGTGAGCTCAGACTCTGAGTGCACTAAGAAGCCTGGGGGCAGCAGTAAGAGGACATTTTACAAGGCCTTTCTGACTACAGGATATAGAAGAAATTGCAGGTGGCACAAGTGGAAGGAGGGAAGCCCACCAGAGAGGATTGCTGTGGGTCACAGCTGCACACACCCCCAGCTGGCTGGCAGGAAGGAAGGATCGCAGGATGACTCTCATGCTTACAGTCCAGATCTAGGTGCCTTGGGAAAGCCAAAGCTGTCTCTTCCTAGGAAACCTATTTGAACCCCTGTAGATGACAGGCAATGCTGAGGGTCTCTAGCTTATGATAGAGCAGCTGTAAAAACATGATCTCTATTCTTGTTCAGAACCATTGCACCAAGTGGAGGTGTGTGATTTAGAAAACCAAGGATGGAATTGGAAACCCGCTGTACCTGTTGAGTGGCAGGGTGTATGTTTCTGTGGAATGGCCTGCAAGCAAGACATGCATTCATTCATTCATTCATTCGTTCATTCATTCACTCATTCAGCTCATGTGTGGTTTTCTTTTCAAAGCACATGCCATACACCAGGCACAGGAGGCCCGGTGGTTTAATAAAAGGACCACAGGCCTTTTGATCCTTCAGACTGAGTCCAGATGCCAGATCTTCTGCTTACAAGCTGTGCAACCTTGAGCAGGTGACTTAGTTGGAGCCTCAGTTTCTTCATCTGTAAAATGGGTATATGAAAGCTAACAAAGGGGATCCTAGACCTTTCTGAGACCTAGCCCCCTAGTTCAGGCCCAGTGACTTCAGAATTCACTCCCCTGTTTCAGGTCGGCACTGACTGGGATGCCAAGGAGAGGCTATTCCGCAACTTTGGGGGTCTTCTGGGGCCCATGGATGAGCCGGTGGGTATGCAGAAGTGGGGGAAGGGACCTAATGTGACCGTGACCGTCATTTGGGTGGATCCCGTCAATGTCATCGCAGCCACCTACGACATCCTCATTGAGTCCACTGCCGAATTCACACACTACAAGCCCCCTTTGAACTTGCCCCTGAGGCCTGGGGTCTGGACAGTGAAAATTCTCCACCACTGGGTGCCAGTTGCAGAGACCAAATTCCTCGTTGCGCCTCTGACCTTCTCGAACAGGCAGCCCATCAAACCTGGTAAGTACTCCCAGTGTCTATGTGGGAGAAATACTCCTTCCCTGGGGACCTTGAGGGTCTTTGGTGTTGGTAGGCAGCACTGCTCAGACATAGGGTAAGCAGCGGCCTCACAGAACAGCACTCCTTGCTCTCAATACTTTTCTCTGTGTTTCCCTAGAGAAACCATCTAATGTCCTACCTGCACACGGAGATGATGTCATCTGTCTAGGTATTAGGTAGCTATTTGTTAGACGCTCCCCCATTCAACTTCCAGAAAGCCTAGATCATATTGAAGACAAGATGGGAAATAAACCCAGGCAGGTATTAAGGATCAGCAAATCTTGTTTACTATTTTAAAAAAATCAAAACAGGAAATTCTGTTCATCAAAAATATGATACACTAGGTGGAAAAGATGAACCACATAATAGTAGAAGATATTTGCTACATTTTTTTAAAGTACTCATGTTCAGAATTTATAAAGAAATGCTATTCATCAGAAGTTGGCCAATCCAGCCCACTACCTGTTTTTGTAAATAAAGTTTTATTGGAACACAGTCACCATGCTCATTCATGTACATGTTGCCTGCTTCTGCTTTAGAGCTACAGTGGCAGAACTGAATAGTTGTGACAGAGACTGCATGGCCCACAAAGCCAAAGATACTATCTGGCTCTTTACAAAAAAAAAGACCACCAACCCTGCTATAAAAGAGAGGAAAAAAATGGAGGAGAGAACATGAATGGCCCCTCACACACGCAAAAACATGTTCAGCCTCATTAAAAATGGGAGAAATGAAAATTGAAAGCAAAGAGAGGTTCCACTTCACACCCATCATATTGGGAAATGCGTGACAGATAAGAACCTGTGTTACTAAGGCTGAGAGCAATAGGCATTCATGCAGTGCTAGTGGGAGGGTGAAGTGCTAAGACGAGTTTAGAAAATGTTTTAGTATCTCCTAGTAAAGCTGAACATACACACACCCTACCACAGACGTCTGACCCCAAGGTATAGGCCCTAGAGACATGTGCAGAAATGCTCACATGAGAATTATTCTTAATAGCACAAAACCAGAAACGGTCTGATTGCCTGACACTGGAAAGGAGAAACAATTGGCTGGCTGTTCATACAATGGAGTACTATGCAGCCGTGAATAGCAGTAAAGCATGGGCATGTGTTGGCTTGGATGAGTCCCTAAAACATAGTGTTGAGGGGGAAATATCACAGATAAATCATAATTATGATGTATTTATGTCAAGTTCAAAAACAGGCAAAGTCAACAATATCTTATTTCAGGAGTCGTATGTCAAAGGCAGCTGTTAGGAAATGAAACATGAAATTAACATGAAATTCAGGTCAGGGTTTCCATCCCCATGGAGAACAGGGACTGGGATGTCAGTTCCTATCCTGCCTGACTTTTTTCTTTGTCCATTGAAAGGGTTTACTTTTATACTTCTATTTCCCCCGCCCCTTTTCACCTCCTTTTATTAAGGGGAAAGTCTTTCTCCCTGCTCAAATCCTACCTCTAGAGAAACCACTGCCAACAGTCTGGTGTGAATCCTTTTAGAAGTTTTTCCATACTTGTAAAGCATAAACATAATACACACCATAAATCACAAAACCTTTGCTATTTTTTAAAAATGAAATAATACATTGTGTACTGTAAGATTGCTTTTTTTTTTTTTTTTTTACTTTCTAAGTCAGTATATATAAAGCTACCAGCTACATGATATTCCACTGGGTTAAGGAACCACAATCTATCTGTTCCCCTATTGGTGGACACATAAGTTTCTGTTGTTGCTGCTGATGATGATGATGTTACTGATAATAGTGCAAGGAAAAGTCTTTTTTTTTTTTTTTTTTTTTTTTTAATATAACAGAGGTTGGCTGGGTGCCATGGTTTACACGTGTAATCCCAGCACTTTGGGAGGCCAAGGCAGGCGGATCACTTGACACCAGGAGTTCGAGACCAGCCTGACCAGCCTGGCCAACATGGTGAAACCCCATCTACTAAAAATACAAAAATTAGCCGAGTGTGGTGGCCGGCGTCTATAGTCCCAGCTACTTGGGAGGCTGAGGCACGAGAATCGTTTGAACCTGTGAGGCGGAGGTTGCAGTGAACCGAAATCATGCCACTGCACTCCAGTTGGGTGACAGAGCGAGGTTCTGTCTCAAAAAAAAAAAAAAGAATTTAGGTCAGGCTCTTTTGCCTAGGCTGGAGTGCAGTCATGCAATCATAGCTCACTGCAGCCTCGAGCTCCTGGGCTCAAGTAATTCTCTCACCTCAGCCTCCTAAGTAGCTGAAACTACACGAGTGTGCCACCATGCCCGGCTTTTTTTTTTTTTTTTTTTTTTTTTAACTATTTTTGTGGTTGTGTGGTCTGTGTTGTCCTGGCTGGTCTCAAACTCCTGGATCTAAACCAACCCTCCCACCTTGGCCACCCAAAGAGCTGGGATTACAGGCGTGAGCCACCCACCACACCCAGCCCCAACAAGGAAGAGTCTTAAACATAAAATTGTATGTGCCCAGCCGGGTGCGGTGGTCACACCTGTAATCCCAGCACACTGGGAGGCCGAGGCGGGTGGATCACGATGTCAGGAGATCGAGACCATCCTGGCTAACACAGTGAAACCCTGTCTCTACTAAAAATACAAAAAATTAGCTGGGCATGGTGGTGGGTGCCTGTAGTCCCAGCTACTCGGGAGGCTGAGGCAGGAGAATGGCGTGAACCCGGGAAGCGGAGCTTGCAGTGAACTGAGATCACGCCACTGCACTCCAGCCTGGGTGACAAAGCGAGACTCTGTCTCAAAAAACAACAACAAAAACAAAAAAGAAAAAAAAATTGTATGTTCCCATGCAGTTACATCCATAACACAAACTCGTAGAAACAGGATTTCTGGGTCTCTCTATATTTGGAATTATTCATGTCCATCTCTAACAGATCACAAACTCAAAAGCCAGAAATGCATTACAGCCTCTTAGCTTTGAAGAGTTCTGGATTGGGTGCCTTTTAGCCAATGATGCAAGGGGATGGGGACACAGCATGGGGAGGAGGTGCCTTGAGTCCTAGCAAAGGGAGTTGTTTGGGAAAAACTCTCAAACCACTTTTCCTCTGCTCTCACACTGCCATGATCAACACAGAAGATTTCTGTGACAGCAAAATACATGGGGAAATTTTCCCCGTCAGCAAGCAAGCAATCAGTTCTGCAGCAGACACCAGCTGGGTGTCCCCCAATTCAGTTCCAACACTCTCCACCCCAGAGGTAGCATCAGACACCACAGAGTGAGGGCTCAGTGCCATAAGACCACCCCCTTCTGCCCGCTAATCACAAGTCTGGGCCTTTGGAACTTCTGACCAAATGGTTTCAAACTGGGGTTCCCACAACCCCCTCTTTGGGCTCAATTACTCTGCTAGAGCAGCTCACAGAACTCAGGGAAACACTTATGTCTATTGGTTTGTTATGAAAGATATTTTAAAGGATGCAGATAAACAGCCAAATGAAGCTATACAGAGGGCAAGGTCCAGAGGAGTCCTGAGTGCAGGAGCTTCTGTCCCCATGGCATTGGGGTGCCCACCCTCCCAACAGGTGGATGAATCTGTCCCCATGGCATTGGGGTGCACCACCCTCCCGGCAGGTGGATGAGTCTGTCCCCATGGCATAGGGATGCCCACCCTCCTAGCAGGTGGATGAATCTGTCCCCATGGCATTGGGGTGCACCACCCTCCTGGCAGGTGGATGAGTCTGTCCCCATGGCATTGGGGTGCCCACCGTCCCGGCAGGTGGATGAGTTCTTCCTCACCTTCCTGTGAAGATGCTACCATGTATTCAGCTCTCCAGAAGCTCCTTGAACCCTGTCCTTTGGGCCTTTTATGAAGACTTCATTGGTTACCCATGACTGAAGCATGACAACTGTGTCAAAATGTGATTGGACAAAAAGGGTCTGACCTAACTCAGCAAGCCCTGTCTGTTCAGATTCTCCTTGGCCTCTCTGTGCAGTAATTCCTTCCTCCAGGGAGTGTGTCAGGGCCCTCTCTGGAATGAGAGTCCTATCACCCACAATCTGATTAGACTCTGGCATTAGGCAGGAGAAGGGGGACAGGAGGAGGCCAGAGCGAGAGAGAGATTCTATTTGCTGAGTCCTAAAGTGCCCAACATTGTAAGAAAAGACTGTAAGAAGGGTTACAGGAGTTCTGAGCCAAGAACCGTGGACAAAAACCACTATCATGGCCTGGTGCAGTGGCTCACGCCTGAAATCCCAGCACTTTGGGAGGCTGAGGTGGACGGATTACTCAAGGTCAGGAGTTCAAGACCAGCCTGGCCAATGTGGTGAAACCCTGTCTCTCCTAAAAGTACAAAAAATTAGCCAGGCATGGTGACGGGTGCCTGAAATCCCAGCTACTCAGGAGGCTGAGGCATGAGAATCGCTTGAACCTGGGAGGTGGAGGTTGCAGTGAGCCAAGATCACACCACTGCACTCCAGCCTGGGTGACAGAGCGAGACTCTATCATCTCCAAAACAATAAATAAATAGGCCAGACACGGTGGCTCACGCCTGTAATCCCAGCACTTTGGGAGGCTGAGGTGGGCGGATCACCTGAGCTCGGGAGTTCAAGACCAGCCTGACCAACGTGGAGAAACCCCGTCTCTACTAAAAATACAAAATTAGCCGGGTGTGGTGACGTGTGCCTGTGATCCCAGCTACTCGGGAGGCTGAGGCAGGAGAATTGCTTGAACCCAGGAGGTGGAGGTTGCAGTGAGCTGAGATCATGCCATTGCACTCCAGCCTGGCAACAAGAGCGAGACTCCGTCTCAAAAAAAGAATCAATCAATCCTCTATCATAGGAGTCTCGAAGTAAACGCTCAGCTTCTGCTGTCTTTGTGCAGAGCAAGCAGAAAGACAGAGACCTCATGTTTTCTTGAGCTGGAAGCCTGCTCCTTCTTCCCCATGAACCAGGCAAAAGACAGCCCCTCCAGAGCTGACCAGGCCCAATCCCACCCCCTTAGAGGTCTTAGGTTCCTTCTTGATCTAGTTCACATCTTTACCATCTCTAACGATGTCTAATGCCAGACATGGAGGAGAGGGGAGTAAATGGCTGTGTCTTCGCTGCTTCAGGTACACCTGTTGGTCAGAATGAAGCAGTGCTCCTGAACACACCCCCACGCCAGTGGAGTAGCCTGGGGGCCATTCATGGGGTCCTGATTTTTCCAGTGTTTTCTTCTAGGGTTTCTAAGGAAGGCAGGGCTCTCCCTACACATGCCCAGGATGACCCAGGAGTCATTTTACCCCCACCGAGAGCAGCCCTCCTGTCCTTGGTAATTGTATTTGTTAGCGATGTTCCAATGAATGACAGTGAACACAAAGGTGGGAGCAATGCAATTTGTAAAATGATTCATCAAGAGTAATTTTCTATTGATGCGTCCCTGGTAATCGCAAGAAATCCGATGAGGTGGAATTGAGGAAAATTTAATTATAGAGACGAGCATCGCAAGCTAATATTGTAATAGCGTTTCCCACATTAACCTCATTTCTCATAAGGGTTTTTTTGCATCAACCACAATATTTGGCTCCCAGCGTTCGCAGGTTTGTTAGCTGCTCTTTTCCCTTTGAATGTCCTGCCTTTTGTCAGTTTCGGTATCTCCTCATTCTCCACTTTCTCACTCTGCAGAATAGAGGCACTAAGGGGCTCTGATAGAGAAATTAGGGCCCGCACCAAAGACAGCAGGCTCTGTTCTCCTGGCAGGTGGGGCTGAAGCTGCCCACCCTACCCTGTATTAGAGAAAGATGGGTTAGGACCAGACTTCCAAACACTGTGGCTCCTAACTACCGTGGGAGAAAGCAGCTTTGCTAAACCCCTTGCGAGACAGAGTATGTGCTCAATGACTGCTCACCTCCTTCCTCCCACTTGTGCCCATCCAAACCACAGAACCCAACCCTTTTGCTTCCTGGGGCATTGGGAATTGAAGGAGTGGCGATCTTGTCTGTGTTAGTCAAGGCAAATTTTGAATTCATCTACTATTCTCACTGCTTTTAGAAGGGTTAGCATATGGTCTTTCTTCCTTCTTCTTGCCTGCTCTGGACACTTGTTAATATCCAGGCTGTCCTGGGTGCCTTTGGTGGTGGCAGCTGCTGTCAGGCAAACAGGAAGCACTGTCTTCTGAACACTGCATTATCTTGGAAGGTTTCTTGTAATCCTAGCTATCTCAGCTCTCGCAAAGCCTGATTTGGTAAAGCGCAACTCACCAGACTCATTGGCCAGCCTTTTTAAAAATATATATGTGCTTCTACTGAGCAATAAAACAAGCAATGAATGTGAACGTCTTCAAAATATTAGAAATAGCATCTATTAGAAATAATAGAAGTGTTTAGCTTCTTTCCTTCACCCCAAATTGCTATACTTCCTGATTCCTCATCGTGCAGCCCTGGGAGGTAGTAGTAGTAGTCACTCTTACGTACATGTTACTGTTTAACCCATTTATGCCTGAGGTTGCAATTTTTAAAATTTTTTTTTGAGATGAAGTCTCACTCTATCGACCAGGCTGGAGTGCAATGGTGTGATCTCGGCTCAATGAAACCTCCGCCTCCCAGGTTCAAACGATTCTCCTGCCTCACCCTCCCGAGTACCTGGGATTACAGGCATCAGCCATCACGCCCGGCTTATTTTTGTATTTTTAGTAGAGACGGGGTTTCACCATGTTGGCCAGGCTGGTCTCGAACTCCTGACCTCAGGTGATCCACCTGCCTCAGCCTCACAAAGCGCTAGGATTACAGGTGTAAGCCATCGTGCCTGGCCCAATTGTTTGAATTTTTGCATGAGTGAAAAATCAGACCTTGGTGATGGCCTTGAGCAGTAGAGTATCAGGGTGAGTGATAAGCACTGCCTTTGGAGTCAGTCGGTCCTGGATTTAACCCCAGATCTGTCTCTAACTCCAGCTGCCTCTCTTTCCCCATCTGTAAAGTAGGAATGATAAAACCAGCCCCCTAGTTTTTTAGGTGTGTGAGGATTATGGACTAATACCAACAGTAATAATCCTAGCTGTATTTGTCTGTTCTCATGCTGCTAATAATGACCTGAGGCTGGGTAATTTATAAAAGTAAGAAGTTTAATGGACTCACAGTTTCAATGGTCAGGGAGGCCTCACCATCATGATGGAAGGCAAAGGAGAAGCAAAGGCACATCTTACACGGTGGCAGGCCAGAGCGCCTGTGCAAGGACACTCCCCTTTAAAAAACCATCAGATCTCATGAGACTTACTTATTCACTATCACAAGAACAACATGGCAAAAACTCATCATGATTCAATTACTTCCCACCAGGTCCCTCCCACAACACGTGGGGATTCTGGGAGCTACAATTCAAGGTGAGATTTGGGTGGGGACACGGCCAAACCATATCACTAGCTAAGCTTTTCCCAGCACTTAGTATATGCCAGGTGTCATTTGTAAATACTTTATATGAGTCAGCACACTTAAGCCTCACAAAGTGAGAAGGAAGGCATTAGTACTTTACCCATTTTATTGATGAAGAAACTGAGGTACAAGGCATGGAGGTCAGAAGTCACACACCTGGTATGTTGGACGTGGGGCTGCAAAACCAGACAGCATGACTGCAGTACCTGGGCTCTTGTATGAAGTGCTTCACAAAGTGACTGGCACATAGGAGGGGCCCAGCAAGGCAGCACTGTTATGAGAGCTAGTTTGACCTCCCACCCCACCTCACCCGGGTCCAAGCTTCATGCTTTCAGAGTGATTGTTCTGTGGTCAGTTCATGCACCCTTAGGCTTCTAGGAAGCAGAAATCCAACTTACGCAGAGTACAAGGTGGACGCTCGGCAGCTGAGATCTGGACTTCCCAAACAGACCTGGGTACAGGTCACTGTCACTCTCCAACCCAGGAGTCAGCAAAATTTTTCTGTAAAGGGCTAGATATATTTTCAGCTTGTTGGGTAAAATACAGTCTGTCTCAAATACTCAGCTCTGGTAGCACAAAAGCAGCCACAGACAATATGCAAATAAATGGGCACAGCCATGTTCCAATAAAACTTTATTTACAAACACAAGTGGTGGGCCACATTTGGCCCAAGGACTGCAGTTTGCCAACCCTCTTGTCTCAATACCCTGTTTTTTTGCCTTCATGACACTTATCACTGCCTGAAATAACCTTATTTATCTACTTATTTCTTTGTTGTTGTTCTCCCTCCACTGGATCTTAACCTTCCTATCTGGTTTGCTCCACCACCTAGAATAGATCCTGGTACCTAATAGGTACTTAATATGTCTTTATCAAATGAGACAGTGCCTTGCAGATCATGGGTGTTTAGTAAATATGTGTTGACTGAATGCCTGGCACAATGTAGGTGCTTAAAAATATATATTGGCTGAATCAGTGTCTGCACTATCAAAGATGCGCTATAAACATGTGTTGAATGAATAAAGGCATGCACCGTGCCCTGTACAAAGTGGGCTCTGTCCTTACGGGCTCAGTTTTCTCAGCTGTGAAATGGGACTGCTAAAAGAACTTCCTCATGAGATTGTCATGTGAATTAAATGAGGCGATGCATGGCACCCAGTGCAGCACCAGGCACAGGGTAAGTATGAATAGGCATCCTATTGGTGGCTCTTCTGATCCTGAAATTGTTCCCTTTGGCTTTCAGAGGAGGCACTGAAGCTGCACAATGGGCCCCTCCGCAATGCCTACATGGAGCAGAGCTTCCAGAGCCTAAACCCCGTCCTCAGCCTGCCCATCAACCCCGCCCAGGTGGAACAGGCACGGAGGAACGCAGCCTCCACGGGCACAGCGCTGGAGGGATGGCTGGACTCGTTGGTGGGCGGGATGTGGACTGCCATGGACATCTGTGCCACGGGCCCCACAGCCTGCCCGGTCATGCAGACCTGCAGCCAGACGGCCTGGAGCTCCTTCAGCCCTGACCCCAAGTCGGAGCTGGGGGCAGTCAAACCTGATGGCCGGCTCAGGTAGCACTGGGCACGAGGAGTGGGCCACAGCAGGATCTCAACGGGAAAGCAGCCAGAGGGGTTGTGGGGCCTGAACCCCGGCCTCCCACCCTGGGGGAGGCCCTCTGTGAATGGGTCTCTCCTGGCCATAGAATGATGGAAAGGGAAGGTCAGCAGGTCAAAGCAGGATCAGCCAACAACCTGCCTTTGGCAAGCTGCGGGTGGGATGGCTCAGTCCCTGCACTGTGACTGTCTCACCTCTTCTGGTTGATCCTCAAGTCCTACAGGTTCCTTGTCTTCCCCTTCCAGTGACCCACCCCTGACCCCAGACGTGTGATTTTCAGACTTTTCTTTCGAGCAGCAGAACTTCGTTTACGGAGCACAGTCATAAGTGGAGGTTCAGGGTGCTGACGAAATCCAAGCTGCTCTGGTTGAAGCTGACAAGTGCGAGGTTCCCTCCCAAAGCTCAGCCCTCTGGGCGGTCCCCTTGCCCAGGGTATCTCCTACGGTACCTCTTCAGAACCCAAGGGCTCTGCAAATGCCAGTTTGACAAGCACTGCCCAGACCAACCATGGGTTCAAACTCCAGCCCTGCCCTTTGGTTCATTTTTCTGCTTCTCTTGGCTGGGGGACTCTGGTGCCAGCCTTGAAAGTCATGGTCGTGGGCCCTTTCCCATGGAGGCTGCAGCCTTAGGAGAGCTCTGAGCCTCTCAGCAGCCCTCCTTGGGTTGAACTATTCTCCTTAGTAACTAGGTAAGTGGGAAAGCCTTTTGATGTGGCATGGCCAAGGTCCAGCCACAAGTGCAACTGCCACCTGTCCAGGGGTCTGGGCCTCCTTCCCTCAAGGCTGCCACACAAAGTAGCAGAAATAGGATGATGTTTGTGAGCACCAGACTCAAGACCATGACCTTCTTTGATCCTTGAAAATGGGAACTTTGACAGCCATGACCATGAAACTCACAAGGCAACGCGATGAAACTCACAAAGCAATGCTTGGAGCAAAACTCCTGAGCTAGACAGCACAGCAGCACCCATCCCCTGCCAGAGCCCTTCCGTTCTGAGGTCAGACACACAAAACCTTCGTCAATTGCACACCGGTGCTGTTGGGAGTGACCAAACCACATGAACCAGACTTTTCCCGTCCAGGAAATAGCATTTCAGATTTGGTTTTTAATTTCATGCCCTTCGGCCACAGGCTCAACGGGACATGCAACATAAAAATGGGAAGGTTATTTAAACAACAAAAAACAGTATGATTTAAGTGTTGAGTTACCAGAAACCCAAAAGGTTTCCTTGCCACGAGCCCCCTGGAGTGTCATCCCTGTTCACCAGGAGAGCTCTTCGCAGGAGGCCTCCCTTGCTCCTGTAATCCCACCTCCCCTGAATGATGGGATTCCCTTGGAAAAAGGTCTCACCCCTGGTAGCCATCTGCCCTTCCCATGGAGAGCCAGTCCTGACACTTCTCTCCAGCGTGGGTTTGAAGGGGCTGCCCTTCGCTTTGTGTGACTTGTCCTAATCCTAGCCAGATGTGTTGCCCCATCCCAAGCCTCGCAAGGCAGGGTGTCCTGTTGGCAATGGAGGACGTAGAGAAGGGACACTTTAGATATTTATTATTTACATGTTTTAGTCGATGACTAATTAGTAGGTGCTGTTTTTGCAGCTTGTCAATTATGTTACCTTACTAACTGAAGCTGCCTTTATTCACAAAAGGCCCCTTTTCCCATCTTTTCCCACCCCCTGGTGTCTCTCTCTCTCTCGGTTTCTCTTTCTCTGCGTCTACCCCCCATCCTCCTCATCCTCAGAGTAAAGCAGGGGCATCGAACACCACGCAAAGAAAGCTCCAACCCGCATCTTCCACTGGCTTTGAGTGGGGTGCCTTGGGGACCGTTGGAGCCTTGTTTTTTTCCTTATGCAGAGTGTCAGCCTCACTCTCCCTCGGATTCCAAGAGTATTGGAATTCCTGAGCCTCCCATCCTCCCCCTACTCACCCCCCGTCACAGGCACAAGGAGGTGACAGGCAGAAAACGTGGAGGGTGAGTGGGGAATGTGCTAGCTGCAGAGAGTTTGTGGGGAATGTGCTAGCTGCAGAGAGTTTGGGCCATTCCTGCTTGCTCCGTGGTTGCCTTCCCATGGCCCATCTAATTATGGGCATTCATGCGACCTTAACAGAGGGAAACAGGCTCCTTTGAGAGAGATCCATCTTAGGAGGAGGGTCGTCAGATCCAGGCAGCAGAGTCCGGGAGATAGCCATTCTCAACAGCGATTCCAGGGATCTCAGGGTACTTTTCTCAGAAAGCCCCTATGATCTCTTTTACAGACTCTATGGTGGCCACGCGCTGGGTGCCACATCCTCTTTCTGCCCCCGGCCTCTGCCTCTGGCCAGGGTTTCCCTGGGGCTGCCGAAGCCACTTTGGGAGCTTCCCTTTCACCCTCCTTGCTGGGCCACCAGTGCTTTGTGTTCGCAGCGTTATTTGCAGTGGCTTTGGGGACTCAGCAGTGGCAAGTCCCTGTGCATAATGTGAACCTGCAGACTTCAAGATGGGGCCCCTCCTGCACCCACTAACATGTCTGCCTTTTTTTGTTTTTATCCTGGAACAAGTGGAGAAATGGCAGAGCTGGCTGACTCTGGGGACCCTTCCCTTTTTCCCATGGCTTCATTTCTTCCTCACCACAACTAATTCGGGGAGCTGAGAAGTCACACAGGGTATTCCTCTCCCTTCTCTGATGTTATTAATTAATAGACCAGAGAATAAGGTTGCAGATATTACATTTGTTGTGTTTTTGTGTTTTGTTTTTTTTTTTAAGGAAAATCCCAAACAAAGCCCAGCATGATTTGAGAAAAGAGGATGTTTTCCCAGGGAAAATAATTTTTTTAACCTGCCTGAGAATGATTTATTTATTTGTTGGAGGCCATTGGTCAGACAGCCTGGAGCTTGGGCTGTGGAAGATTTCAAAAGCATAGGGCTGTGGTCTCTGGAAACCTATTACAGCCTGCAGCTGTGAGCTGAGCCAGTGACGAGGTCCCTGGAAACTCAGGAAGGCTGACAGGTGGGCCTTGGGGTATTGGTTTGTGGAGAAGGAAGCATTCTTTAGGCTGCGGCACTCCTTATAGTTTCCCACCCACCGAGTGACATTCAGGCAGAAATTGAGCTCAGGAGACAGCCAGCCTTCCCACATCCCACTTCACTTCCCGGTCCACACGTAAAGCAGTGTGTCTCCAAGGAGGCAGTGAGCAATTCCCAAGGTCCCCGTGTTGTGAGAAGCGCGCTGCTTTCTCCCTTTGCAGGGGAAAAAAAAGGCTTTCCTGGTGAGATCATGAGTCCTTCCGGCTTCATTTCTCATTGTGGGTTTAACTTCTAAAACGCAAATGGAGTTTAGAGAGGATGAGCAGAACCACAGGACCTGCCCCCATCTCTCACTCACTGCAATTGCTTCTACTCTGGGCACAAGTAGGGTGTCTGAAGACCATGTTTCCCTCTGGTTCTCTAGTTTGCAGATAACACAGAAGACACTGGCTAGAACCTTAAGCTTTCTGCCAAAAAGATGCAGAGAGCAGGGCAGTAGCTACTGGCAGTGGGGTGTGAATAAAGAGTCCTTTCACAACCAAGTTCACTGAGGATTTGGAGCACCAGCTTCCCAGCAGTATCGAGGGGTGGAGAGGTGTACATTCAGGTGGAGGGGTACATCTAGGGGTGGAGAGGTGTACATTCTAGAAACAGCTGTTAACACACTCCACTTTAAAGACAGCAAGCTAGACCTGCAGGATCAAAGCCACACACTGTGGTAGGGGTTACAAATGTTTATGGGGCCCAGAATACTAGCATAGATGCGTGAAATGGTTGGTGTGAGGCAAAAGGGCATGGTGGGGGCAAGGATGGGGACTGTGGTCTTACTGGCATGCACGTGACCTACCCAGAATGAGCAGCTGCTACTCAGCCCCAACCTGTCATTGTTTGTAAAAATGTAAGCACAGTGTAGTGGAATCTTCCAATTTGGAAGGGAAGCCGGAAATCCAGATTTAATGGAAAAAATCTGATTTTTCAACGTCGGGTTGTTTGTTTGTTTGTTTTTGTTTTTTTTAACAGATAGTGGGCAAAGAAAAATTCCACTGTTCCACGTGTACACTGCCAGCAACCTCTGCTCTCTGGAGAGGTGGTTTAAAGTGAGATTATGCATTGCCCTGGTAGAAGAGGAAAAAAGCCAGCATCAGGTCAGGGCAAAAATAACAGCCCATGTTGAACTCGGAATGGGGACCTCTTGCTAAGTCATTCCACTCCTCAAGAGACCATTCCACAGAGGGGGGATGGATCATTCAGCTCTCCTGGTCCCAAGATTGTGCTGAAGGGAAGAAGGAATAGAATCTGGAGATCTGGACTGCTGCCCCTTAGATATGCAGAGGTCCACATCTGCCTGGGGCTACAGCTTGTGGGACTCCATCAAACCAGGCCGAAATGGCAAAGACAGTCTAGGAGGAGGAGGAGGTAGGGTGTGAAACAGCCAGGCTCTCTCCAAATCCCAAGTGTTGACACAGCCATCTTGTCCCATCCCTGGAAGCCTCTTTGGAAACCACATAGAGCTGTGCTGGCTCACGGGATGTCCTGTTTGCTTCTGCCTCAGTTACCTTACTTTGCCCATGGGTCTACCACAGGCGCTACCTCATTGTGTCTGCTGAGAAGTTTACCTGGGAGGGGGGAACAAAGTTGTCCAAATCTGCTTGAGCTGAATGTATGATCTATGCAAATTCTCTCTCTCCTCTCTCTCTTCCTCTCTGGCTCTCTTAGAAGTTTTTTTGTTTTGTTTTGTTTTGTTTTGTGTTTACCTTGCAAACAAGATACTGTATAGGACCCTCTTAAGATGGAGGAGGGCTTTCTTGCGCCACCTGTGTCTACCCCTCACGTTGTCTTTGGCTCTGGTCTTACCAGGCGTATGCAGGGAGAAAGTGACCTCTCTTCCCTCTCCACTTGGCTGGGAATATTCCAACTGCCTCTGCCTACAGATACCACCAGAAAGCGGGTTCTGCACCTTGTCATCCCCCTCCCTAACGTCATCTACTCCATCCCTCATGTTCCTCCAACTTGCTTCTCCCATCCCTCCTTCAAAAACAAAACAAAACAAAACAAAAGCCTTAGGTTTCTCCTTTTTGAAATGTGGCCTTAACATTATTTTTGGGAAGCTGACCATCCATCCTTTCCCTCCCATCTCCACCAACATCAGAGAAGACAGCATCGTGAAGCTTCTGTGGCAGCCTCCTAAGGAAGGGGCTGCCAATCTGTAGTTGGCAGATGCTATAGGAATTGCTTACAAATGTCGTCTTTAAGAAAAATGTTCTTATATTTTTCCTATGGGCAAAATGAAGGCTTGGGTGCTCATCTAAAGCTCAGCCAACTCCTGAAGCACTCTCTCAGAGCATACTGCTGCTGTAATGGGCTGGCTTAATTATCGGCAGAGTGCTTGAAAAGGCTTTGCAGACCTCCCCTGCCCCCAAGACTGGGTGACTTTATATGTACTTCATTCAAGGGTAAATCAGGAGACGTTCTCCATTTATCTCTTCGTCCTTCCTGCCTGGAAAGTGATAGCACTAAATATTCCCAGCAGATGGGTAGTGTTCTCAAAGGAATCACCCTTTCCCTACCTTCAGACTCTATTCTTTACCCTTCCATTGCTCCAGTGCTGATGGAGGCCAAAGACAACCCCAGGGTTTTCATAGGAAATTCACTGGAATTGTGCGCAATTGTCTTTGTAGTCCTTTTGCCTTTTTTTTTTTTAAATATTATGTTGTCAATAGCATTTGTTTGGGTATTTGTTTTAGAGGCCTCACTCTAAGTTATTACCGTCCCCTTCATTGTTTTCAAAGACATGTGGTGATATAGTTTTTAAAAATAACTATTTTGTTATAGATCATAATATGCATAAAACTGTACAGAAATATTTTGTAATGTGTTGATTTTAAAAAAAATCTGTAAATAAAGTTTTAAAAAAAGAATTCAAATGGCACACGCTGAAATATGTAGATATTTTGCTATTTATTTAAAGGAGTATTTTAAGAGATATTGAACTATCTGAAATTGACCAGTAATCAAAGTTCCAATCATCTGAATGCTTTTCCTTGAGGTAGAATGTGAGTCTCAGAAATGACTGCATTACCTGCCCTTTTTTGCACCTTTTCTGTCTTTTTATTTTGCAGAACAACAACAACAACAAAATTGTGCCTTAGCTGTATTTTTTTGTCTAGGGGAGTTTGTTTCTGTCTGACAAAGCAACATTTTTTGCAGAAAACAGTGGATGTATTAAATACTGTATCATACCAAAAACACTGCAGGTGTATATAGATGCTTTCTGTCATACTGTGTTTTCAGATGCAGAATTTTAAAATTAAAAAAACACTGCCTTTATGGAACAGTGACTATATGTGGCTTCTTTTCAGCAACATTGTGCATCTTTACACAATCTCATATTCTCTTCTGTCATCTGCATGGTGAAGATAGGATGACTATATAATTTATCATCCAAACTGGGATACTTTTGAGAGTTAAAGGAAGCACCACGTGGATGGGATGCTGAGACTGCAGGCATAAATGGCCTATCCTGGGAAAACCTGGGTGTGTGGACACATTTCCCTCATAAAAACTGCTGTCATCTTCTAACTGGATTATAGCAACAACCTCCTATAAGTACCTCCTGGTTGAGGCAGAAGTATATGATTTTTAAACCCGTACTGAGTAGAGAATAACAAGAAGGGACTGCCATGGAAAGTTGCAGTTTCCTATACCCAACTGGTTGGTTGGTTGGCAAACGTGTTTTCCTTTCCTCTTTACCACAGAGACTACATTTCCCAGACTGCCTTGCTCTTAGCTGTGACCATGTGACCAGGCCAATGGAACAGCTAGACTGCATCTTCCAGACTGCCTTGCTCTTAGCCATGGCCATGTGACTGACTCAGGCCAATGGAATGTAGGTAGAATAGGTACATGGCACCTCTAGCCCTGGTCCCTAAAACCTCCCACTGGAGTCTCTCCTCTCTCAATCTTTCCCTATTTGCCAGCTCAGATGTTTTGAATCACCTTGATTTTGTACATTCATCCACTTGGCCTATTCAGGTGGTCTTTTTGGAAACTTTGCACAGCCTCTACCTTAAAGGAAGGCAGAGCCACAGTTTGGAAGGTAACTGAGCCCCTGCATAGCCACATAAAAGAATGCTTGACCAGAGTCACCCCTATTGACTATGACATGAAAAGAAATAAATATGTATTTTGTTATGCCCCTGAGACTTTCAATTACAGCAGGCTAGCCTTACCTTAATTAATCCAATCAGAAATGGAAATTCAAATGTTTCTTTGGGAAAATCCACATTTTGGTTCCTTCACTCAGTCGGTAAAGTAGAGAGCCAGACAGGTGAAGGGATTTGCCTGAAGCTACCCATGGTCATCAGGGTCAAGTCTAGAACCAAAGTTTCCCATCTTCCAATGAGACTTTCATAAGTCACTGGGAAGACCAGTTCCTCCACCCCTGAGGTTAGCTCACTATTATGTATATATGTGGTTTCTGAGGGCTATGCCCAGGGGTTGGGAGCCTAGATGCCTGGGTTGTAAAGATGCTTCTAATTCACCCTTCAAAATCCTTAAAGGAAGACAGGCACTGAGACACAGATAGGATTTTAGCAGCTAGAACAAAATAGGCTAGATATCTCCCCATTAGACACACAGAGGGGCAAATATATGGAGAGCTGTGTCAGCTTCAGCCTCCTTGAGCTTGGCTCAGGAGAGATGGTGACTGACTCCATATTTAGACAGATGGATGGACCCAAGATTCATTTGTCAAAACCTCTTTCCAGCCTGATCTTACAGCCAACTTCCCTTTCCTCTGCCCGGAGATAATTCCTCAAAAAATGAGTTCAGTTGCAAGGGAAGAATAAATTTCTAAAATCTGCGTAGGAGTAAGGATCACAGTTATCTTATTCACTGTGGTACCTCCAGTATTTAGCACAGTGAGTCCAGCGTATGGGCACTCAGTGAATATTCAGTGAACGGACAAGTGAATGAGACCATATATCTTAATTAATTAACAATATGGGCATGGGGCCATTTGTCCAAGATTCTGTCTTTAAAACCATCATTTGATGGATAGTATTTGTCAAAATATGGGTCATTGTAAAGTAAGCTGTGATTTTTTACCTTCAATAATGAGGTTTCTGGGCCTACTGAAGGGTCAGTTGGAATTTCTTTCCTGCTTATTTACTGGGTTTAAGTTCATTAAATTCGTGATTTTAAGAGTTTTTTTTTTCTTCTTTAAGGGGAATGCTTTTTCAAGCAGTGTACCTTAAACCTCCACATATATATATATTTAAAAAAAAAAAAAGACTTAAAAATGGGTGATTAGGAGGGGTGCCCTGGGTGAAGTGAGAGTAGAAAGCTTTGTCTCAGCAAGTGCACCCACCCCCACCAGCCCGCCTCTTTCATGGCTCCATGGGATACGTAGATGACCATGCTTTGAAGTCACACCACACCGATGTTGAAAACATCTAGGCTTTTTGTACGGTTGGCTTTGAGGCCTTGCTGCCAAGGTGCTGAAAGTTGAGTTCTAGGCTGGGTCTCTGAGCATGAGACCAAACCAAGAATAATTCAGTCCACCTGGTGTTGGCAAGTTGTAAGGGTGGAAACTTAGAGCTGGGGCAAAAAGGAGGTATGGCTGGCCTGACATGTTTTGGAGACTCTTGATCCTGTGCATTCATAGTTAGTTCATTTGTTCCACTGCTCTGCCTGGAAACATCATCAGCCCTAACCCTGACAGGGAGTACTGGCCTGAGAACCAAGAGGCCCAGGCCCTTCACAGCTTTGGTTGTGCCACTGATTTGCTGTGTGATCATGGCGAGTCTCTCTTCCATGATGAGTCTCAGCCCCCTCAACTGCCAAATAAATGGGAGAATGGGGCCTATTGATACCTGGGGTCCATTCAAGTTCAGACGTGTAAGTGTACAGTCCAATTGCCACCCAGCACCAAATACAGAACATGTTAAGGTGCCAGCTCCATGCAAGAAAATGTTCCCAAGATGTGATTGTTGATGTTCACATCTATGTTAGTCAAGGTTCTTTCACTTTCAAGTAACAGTAACCCAATTCACAGACGTGTAATCAGAAGGGGAATGTATTAAGTTATGAAACGTTAGAAGACAACAATTAAAACGCAAATTACAAGAACTAGGACAGCACTCAGGGGACTCAAGAACTGAAACTGGAGCCCCAATACTCACAGCCCTCTCTTCCTCCATTTTTGCTGGCCTTTGTTTGATATTATCTCCTACAGACAGCTAATTCCACATGGTAAATAAAGAAGGCCCCAGAAGTTCTTGCTGCTTGTCCTTTGAACTCCATAACACAAAAATATCAACGTCCTTTGTCCTCACTGCCAAAAGGGCTGGCTCTAACTCTGGACCTATCACTCAGATCAGGCAAACAAGGCACTACGATTGGCTGAACCTGGATGGTATGCTGACCCCTGCGACCAGGGCATTGGACGGTAAACTGTGATTGGCAGCCCCATCCCCATTACATGATAGGAGTAGAAGAGAAATGGATCCCCGGCGGGAGAGGATGGTGTCGAACAGACAAAAACAACAGATGTCCATTCACTGCCACAGCCAACTGCAGGCCCAGGTGGCTTCTCCGCTTGCCAGTCCAATTCGTTTCTGCTCCTCAAGTGCCCAAATTTTCTCCTCCCAGTTCCTCTATACCTCCCTAAGGAGAAGGACTCTGGGCCTATCTTAAGCAAATCATTTTAAATAAATATCACATGGATGGTGCAGATGATTTCACCCTCACTTAATTAGCTGTGGAGTGTTTATGCTTATGGAACATGATGGATTGCTCCTTGTAGCCTGGGCACAGGACACTTTAAAAAGGCCCTTGTAACAGCCCTTTGCTAATGATGGTGGATGATTTTAACTTGCTGCAGGAAGCAAGGCCTGCGTACCTGCCATGAAGAGCGGCATCTCTCTCCACGTTTCTGGAGCATCAGTATTCCAGGCTCCACACTGCGCTCTCCACTGCCCCGTCCCCTTAGCAGGCCCACAGAATGCTCGTGCTAGCCAGCGCATCCATGATACGGTGTTTGTGGCTTGCTGAGTCGATGCGTTAAGCTTCTAAACATAGAGCTGATGAGAATAGCAATGGCTAACCCTGTGTTAGAAAGCACTGGTAACGGACGGGCTATTAGGCATCAGAGCAGATTAGGTGAGACTCCAGAAAAACACCGGGAATATTTTCCAAATTACACATCCAGACTGATCCACCTACTGCCAATTTTCAATTGCCTCTGACCAAAATAAGAACCCCTCCCCCAACTTAAGGGTCAGATAATCCTGTGTCCAAACATTTGTTTTTTTATCATAGATTAGCTAAGTCAGATTTGAGACAAATTCCCTAATCTCTCTGGGCCTCAGATTCCATATATATATATATATATATATATATATATATATATATATACACACACACACACATATATATATACACACATATATATGTATATACATATATATACACACACATATATATGTATATACATATATACACATATATATGTATATACATATATATACACACATATATGTATATACACATATATATACACATATGTATATACACATATGTATACATATATATATACACATATATATACACATATATATATATACACACACACACACGTATAGGGGATAATAATTACCTATAAAGCTGCTGGGAGAATTTTAAAAAGACAAAGCCTGTGAAATAGATAGCCTAGTATCTGCATACAGAAAGAGCTCAGTAAATATCAGTTATTTTCGCCTTCTCACTCCAAAGGTGAAAGTTCCTTGAAGGCAAGGACAGTGTCTATATTCTCGGCACACATTACATGCCTTGACAATGTAAGATGTTGTGCCAGTGTTTGATGAATGAATGAATGAGCGTGTGAACTGGACTGCTGCTACATCCATAATTTCCTCAGGGGCGTTCCATTTAGTCTGGCCTCCACATTTGCTATTGCAGACTGGATATCTTCCTGAAGACTCCATTTGCGACAAAGTGGCATCACCTTGACTTCAGAGATTTAAATGAGATTTTTTCAAAACACCCCAAACTGTGGGAGACACAGTATTGCCCCCCAATCTCTTTGGAGGGTCTTGGGGAGTCAACTTCAGCTACAACCCTGGGTCTCATTTCCACTGAATTGGTTCATTTTACAGATCACCCCTTTATTCTGCAAGTTCTTTTTTTTTTTTCTCCTTTCTGCACTGTATGACCTCTCCCTAATAAGTACCCTGGTCCCTTTATTCCTCAAAATACAATTGTAGAGCTATGTAGAAAGCAGATTCCATCAAGGCATTCAGATAAAGGATTGCATAAGATTTCAAATGATTTAGAATATTACATACCCCCATTCTCAGAAGTTTTAGAAATCTCTCAATGGCCACCTGCCTGGGCAATTTCCAGCTTCCAGACACGTTTCCATCTCCCTCTCTTTATTCCCTGCCTGTTCTGTCTGCTCTCCTGCACCTCCCAAGACACTCTGTTATCTCTTTTCACCTTGCTGACTCTTCGCAGACCAGCCCCCCTCATGACTTCACATTCCACACCTAAAAAATACTGGAAAGCTAAGTTCTCTCGTAAGTTCCAAGCTTCTATGTTCTTACCTGAGAGGAGATCTGGTGCCAGCTATGATGACAATTACTACAAAACACTCTCCCTCTCCACTCCAATTACTCGGATTTAATACAATCCCTGGCTTCCATGCAGTGTCTGAGCATTTTGGCTCTATTCCCTAGGTGGTGCTTTTAAAAATTTTTTTGTAAAACCTCTGGGGCCTCCTTCACCAGCAAGAAATTATTTTAGCATCACTGGCCTCAGTCTCATTCTATCATCAGCATCTGCTAATTTAATCAAGAATGAGTTGTGAGCAGGGAGGTTGCAGGTATCCAAAGATGAAACTGGATGAATTCCAGGAGCAAGAATTTCTCAGAACTAAGAACATTGACATTGCAAGGTTGGGTCCAATAAAGTACACTTCTTCCTGCCAATTTCATTTTTCAACCTTGACTATTCATGGTTTGGATCAGCAGATAGTAATATCACCTTTGTCATCAAGGAGCCTAGGATTTATTAATCTAATATGGGTATCGGCCCAAACTTGGCTTCAAAGAAACAGGAGAAGAGCAAACAGGGACATTAGAAATATAGAGCCCTGGGTTTTGGTGCGGTCGCATGAGATGCATCAGGCGCTTGATGTCCCTGAGTCCCGGTGCCTCAGCTGCCCAGTGCCCACGTTCATAAGAAGGCAACAAATTCTTCTCCTCTACAGAAGGATTTTGCAAACAATTTGGCAAGTTCCAAATGATTCTGATTGCAAATACCTGAAGGACTGGGCAAGGGAAGAATTCAGAAGAAACAAAACTGCCACCGAAGAGGATACAATCCGGTTGATGATTACTCAAGGCAATATGCAGCTCAAGGAGTTAGAAAAAACACTTGCTTTAGCAAAATCTTAACTATAGCATTATTCTGACGGATTTTCAAAGTCTCCATGTATTTTGTTTCATTTAGGATTGACAGTGGACAACACAAAGCCCAGTCTTACTATTTGTATGTACAGTATTTGGTGATAGAGAGCAAAGGAAAACACATCAAAACAGTTGCCTTAACACTGAAAAACATACCCTGCATTTTGAAAATGTTTATGGATGTCTCAGCAGTTTTTTAAAGAAGAAAAAACCACTAACAAATGGCCAGTAGATGCTGGACACAATCATTAGGGAAGTGTAAATCAAAACTACTATGAGGCCGGGCACAGTGGCTCACGCTTGTGGTCTCAGTACTTTGGGAGGCCAAGGTAGGTGGATCACTTGAGGTCAGGAGTTCAAGACCAGCCTGGCCAACATGGTGAAACCTTATCTCTACTAAAAATACAAAAATTAGCCTGGTGTGGTGGTGCATGCCTGTGGTCCCGCCTACTTGGGAGGCTGAGGCAGGAGAGTCACTTGAGCCCAGGAGGTGGAGGTTGCAGTGAGCTGAGATCGTGCCACTGCACTTCAGCCTGGGTGACAGAGTGAGACTCTGTCTCAAAAAAAACAAAAACAAAAACAAAAAACAAAAAACAAAACAAACCCTGAGATTCACATTCATTAGAATGGCTGTAGTTAAAAAGAGAAATAATAGTAACTGTTGGTGAAGATGTACAGAAATTGCGGGTGGGAACGTAAAATGGTGTAGCAACTTCAGAAAACAGACTGTCAGTTCCTTGAAAGATGAAACAGCTGCTGTATGATTTAGCAATTCTACCCCATGCCCATAGCCATTATTTGGCACTAAAAAGAAACAAAGGATTGATATATGCTAAACGTGGATAAACCTTGAAAACATTAAGTGAAAAAAGCCAGTCACAAAATATCACATGATGATTCCATTCATATGAAATGTCCAGAATAAGCAGAAAGATTAGTGGTTGCCTAGGCTGGCTGTAGGTAGAATGGAGTAACTGCTAATGGGTGTAGGGTTCCTTTTCAGGGTGATGAAAATATCCTACAGTTAGCTTGTGGTGTAGGCTGCACAACTCTGAATATACTCAAATCCACTGAATCATACATTTTAAATGTAAGGTATGAATTGTATCTCAATAAAGCTGTTATTAAAAAGAAAAAACTCTGAGGTGTAGGACTGAAAGTACACTGACACCAGGAGATACCCTGGAACTTTCTCAAAAAATCCTGCATTATCCCTGAGGGTTGTTCAGGTATGTTCTTCACATGTGTCATAGTTTGATAGAGGACTCATCAAAAAGATCACTACTTGGAATCTAGATCTTTGTTGGAAAGGGAAGAGAAAGAGAAGCTTAATGAGCACATTGAAGTACTTAACAGAAAGAAGAGGGAAGACTTCTGGATGAAACCTCTGTGTGTACCTTAACATTCACGTGGAAGTAGTAAAAATAAGATTCTGGGTGCAGTTCTCCTCCAATGACAGGAAAAAAAACAAAGAGAATTTGAAGAATACGTTAGAGACAAATACATTACAACCAAAGTTGACTTCAGGGGACTTTTGAAGGAGATCAAATTTATAACAAATAATTTAGTGAAAAATGTGAAAGTGAAAGCTTGTGGAAGATGCTGGAACATCCATCCTGAAAATTGAAGTCTTCTGTTCGTCAACAGAACAGCTAAGAAGCTAATCTAAGAATGACCAGCACCTGAAAGATGTAGACAACATTTTGCAGAATGATAAATGGTATTCAGTACTGGACTGTGCCTGAGGAGAGGCTTCAACTGAATGTGGATGTTGATGACCTGGACTGTCAGGGTCCACCTCTACCTCCCAGAGCCTCAGAGCCCACAAGACAAAGTAAGTCTGAATACTGTTCCATGGGGGTAATCTACTAATTCAAAATGCTTGCCTGTGCCAATTTTCAGGTTTTTATGTAGATAAGTATTAGTTAACCTGTTGCAAAATGATCTGACAAATAGGAGAAGCATTTGTGACATTTATGAACAGAGAACACTTTGGAAATATTTTTTTGTGACATGATTGATATATACAAGCTATCTCTAGTAAATTTAACTTGAAACTCAAAATCATCCTTTTATGGGTATAGAAGGCAGTGATTTAATGATGCTCTTCCTAACAGTGGTGTGCATGGAAAGGTTTTCATTAAAGAGCATTATATGGTTTGCATTTGCAAGATGCAACTAGCACAGACTCCAAGAAAACCTAAGTGTTTTTTTTTTTGGGTTTTTTTTTTTGCTCGTTTGTTTGTGTTTTAAAGCAGGTAAGGCTGGGCACAGTGGCTTACACAAGTAATCCACATATTTCGGGAGGCTGAGGTGGGAGGATTGCTTGAGCCCAGGTGTTTGAGAACAGCCTGGGCAGCATAGTGGGACCATGCCTCTATAAAACATTAAAAAATTAGCTGGGCAAGGTAGTGTGTGCCTGTAATTCCAGCTACTCAGGAGGCGGAGGTAAGAGGATTGCATTTAACCCAGGAGGTTGAGGCTGCAGTGAGCCATGAACATGTCACTGCACTTCAGCCTGGGAACAGAGCAAGACCCTCCCTTCCCTCCCACATCACCCCCTGCCCACCCCCAGAAAAAAGTAAAACACTGAAAATTGAATAATCTGTCAGAGGCGAAAATTACTGTAATGGACATGCTTTTACATCATCTCTAAAGAACAATTTAATTTGTTCACTTACATGCTTTGCTTATACCCTCTGAATTATAGGCCAATCTCATTGGTTAACCTAAGGGATTTATTTAGCAGTTTCCTCTAAGGTACAGAGCCACAGTCATTAGGAAGTTGGTCTGAATCAAACTGCCAGTGATTTTTATGAAGGAATGAAAAAAAAAAGAAAAAAAATCTGCTGGTGAAACACACTTTATTTATCATGAAGAAATCTTTGTCAGTACTCTGGATTAGATAACAAATTATTTTCTGGATGTTTCCTGAAAACTGTACTTCTGTTTAAATGTTAAACTTTTGTTCCTAAAGTTTAAGATGTTTGAATGTCAGTTTATCTATTTGAACCACAATAAACTGATTTATAGTAAAAAAAACAAACAACAACAACAAAAAACAGAAAAACAAATATAGAGCCCTAACTACACCCTAACTCAAAGTCTGACCTTTAACCAGATATCTAAATTCAAGTTCTCTTCCTTTGTCATGTGCATAATACTAGCTACCTGGAGGCAACATTGGTAATGCAAATTGAACGAGCACTAACCAACTAACTTGAGTTTGAGTTCTGACCTTCCTACTTATTGGTTGTATGAATTTCAGGCAGTCACTCAACTTGCTGAAAAACAATTTTTTCATTTCTTTAAAAATAAAAAAAGACAGGTCATCTTATCTAGTTGTTGAGAACCACTAGTTTAATCTTACATGAACCCTTACCTTTATTAGTGAAGGGTTCATCTAAGATTAAACTAGTGGCTCTCAACCATGGCCACACAGTAGCATCACCTGGGAAGGTTTTAAACATTCTGATGCCCAACTTACACTCTAGACCCATTAAATCAGAATCTCTGGAGGTGGAACCCAGGCATCAGTAGGTGTTCTGTTGTTTGTTTTGAGACTGAGTCTTCCTCTGTTGTCCAGGCTGGAGCTCAATGGTGTGATCTTAGCTCACTGCCTCCTGGGTTTGAGCGATTCTTCCCACTCAGCCTCCTGAGTAGCCGGGATTACAGGCACCCACCATCATGCCCGGCTAATTTTTGTATTTTTGTAGAGACAGGGTTTCACCATGTTGGTCAGGCTGTTCTTTCAGGTGATCCTCCCGCCTCGGCATCCCAAAGTGCTGGGATTACAGGCGTGAGCCACTGCGCCCTGCTGGCATCAGTAATTTTTAAAGCTCACAGGGGTTTCCAATGTGCAGTTACAGCTGAGCACCACTAGACTAAATGGATGTGAAACCTTTCCCCAAACATTGGGGATTATTATTATTACCCTACGCTTACATTGGCCCTTCATGTGATAAGAAGACAATGCCCCACTTGAGATGACAGATTTCTCTCTCTCTCTCTCTCTCTCACACACACACACACACACACACACTCACACACACACGTGCCTCACCTTGGTAAAATCAGAACAGCAAGGATGAAGGTGAGATTCAGGGTATGAACAGAAAACATCTGGATTTGCTCAATTTTCTCTAAAATATGAGCCTTAGAATCACATATCTCAAGAACTGGCAGGAATAGTACAAATACGTTTCATAGTCTAACCCTTTTCCTCCAGCAAAAGTAGTGCTTCAACCACAGCAGACAGTCTGGGCTCATGAGTTCTCTGAGGTGTAGATGGGGACTCCATCACCTGCCACCACTCAACCCCAGCTTTCTTTCAGATCCCCCCCAAGGAGTTGACTCAGCCTCCCTCCACCCTTGCTCACGCTATGCAACCCCTTGGCATATACATGAGTGGCCCCCGCCCAGCTCTACCTTCCAGAGCCAAATGACAATATGCTGCCTACTTGGAAGGCTTCCTATATCACACAGACCCTTCCTTGACTGTCCTTCACTGACATCTCTTCAATCAATCAGGGCTGCTGGAGGGAAAGCGAGTCCAGTATACTGCAGGTTTGCCCATGACTAGGCTGACACTACTTCATGGCCAGCCTTGGGCTGCCCTACTGGGGGAAGTGTGTCTTCCCAGTTGGGTTATGAAGCTTATCTAGAAATGGGATCATATCTTCTAAACCCTAACCCACTCAAAGTGTGCTCCATGGAGCACAGCATCCCCTTGGAGCTTGTTAGGAAAACAGTCTCGGGCTGTACCCCAGACCTACTGAATCAAAATCCTCATTTTAGCAAGACACCTGGGTGATTTGCAGGGATGCCCATTAATGTTTGAGAAGCACTGATCTATACCTTTCAGGCATCTAGAACAGGTCATTGATTCACCAAATAAGTGGTTACTAAACAGTATTTAAGGAACTGTGACAGAATTTAGAAATATTCTAAATATTGTGAAAGGAAGTAAGTCTTCATCCTTGAAGAACTCATGGTCAAAGAGATAGACAATGACAACTCAGTGTGCTAACAGCTAATTTAGGGGTAAGTGCAGGAACTGTAAGGACAGGATACAAGGGTCACTAATGTTCACCAATTCTTTGAAACTCCTTCTTTCAATGGGTAGAGCATAGTTTTCTTCCCCCTTAAATGTGAGATGGATTGACTGGAATTGCTTCTAACAAATAGATTACGATAGAAGTGTGTGACTTCAGAGGCCAGGGCATACAAGGCATTGCAGCTTCCCCCAACTCTTTCTTGAATTGATCATTCTGGGGTGTATTAGTCTGCTCTCACACTGCTAATAAAGACATACCCAAAACTGGGTAATTTATAAAGGAAGGGGGTTTAATGGACTCACAGCTCCACACGGCTGGGGAGGCCTCACAATCATGGCAGAAGACAAAGGAAGAGCAAAGGGACACCTTACATGGCAGCAGGCAAGAGAAAGCTTGTGCAGGGGAACTCCCCTTTATAAAACCATCAGATTGGCGAGGCGCGGTGGCTCATATGTGTAATCCCAGCACTTTGGGAGGCTGAGGCGGGCTGATCACCTGAGGTCAGGAGTTTGAGACCAGCCTAGCCAACATGGCAAAACCCCGTCTCTACTAAAAATATAAAAATTAGCTGGGCGTGGTGGCACACACCTGTAATCCCAGCTACTTGGGAGACTGAGTCAGGAGAATCGTTTGAACCTAGGAGGCGGAAGTGGCAGTGAGCTGAGATCGTGCCACCGCACTATGGCCTGAGTGACAGAGTGAGACTTCATCTCAGGAAAAAAAAAAAAAAAAAAAAATCAGATCTCATGAGACTTATTCACTGCCACAAGAACAGTATGGGGGAAACTGTCCCCATGATTCAATTACCTCCCACTAGGTCCCTCCCATGACATGTGGCAATTATGGGAGCTACAATTGGAGATGAGATTTGGGTGGGGACACACAAACCTTATCACGGGAGAAGTCAACTGTCAGGTTGTAAGGGCATTAAATAGTCCTATGAAGAGGCCCACGAGATGAGGAACTGAGGCCCTCTGCCAACACCCATGGGAATGTACCATCTTCAAGGCAGACCCTCCAGCCCCAGTCAAGCTTTCAGATGACAGCAGCTCTGGCCAACACCATGACTACAACTCATGAGAGACCTTGATCCAGAAGCATACAACTAAACCACTCCTGAATTCCTGACCCACAGAAAATGTGAAATGTTTGTTGTTTTAAGGTGTTAAGTTTGGGGTGATTTGTTAAGCAGCAGTAGAAAGCTAATACAGGTACCTAACCACATCCTGAAGAAACAAGGAAGGCCTCCCACTAAAGGAAGTCATCTCTAATCTAGGACCTGAAGGGCATATGGAAGCTAGTCAGGCAATGCAGGTAGGAAAGAATGTTCCAGAGAGGGCAAAGGCCGGCTAGAGATTATGTGACACTTCGCAGGAATTAAAAGTGATTTAGACACTGGAGGAAGAATAGTGACAGATGATGCCGGAAAGGCTTCCAGGGATCAGGTTTTGCAGGCCCTCAGGGGCTATAAAGGAAAGCCTTGACTACCTTGAGGACTATGTGGGATTTTCATCAGCATGAGAGTGACATGGACAGATTCACACTTTGAAACATTTATTGTGGTATCTTGGGAAGAACAGGCTGAAAGAGAGGCAAGATGAAACATGGGGAGACCGGAGACCAGGCTACTAAAACAGTCCAGGTAAGAGATTACAGTAATTTGGACTACAGTGAGGCTTCTATAAACATGATGTGCTTATTTATTGCTTGGAGATGTGACTGCACAGCTGACTGGAGTGTCTTCTGTTTCCATATATGCATATTTACTCTCAGTTGCTGACTGGCTCTGCACCTGTTATCTCAAGTAGGACTTAGAGGTGAAAGGTAAAGTGGTAAAAAAGAGGATCTGTATCAGGACACTGGCCAGCACCCCTACTATCCCCCAGAAACTGAGCCTGTGAAGCGATTAAAAGTCTGGATCTTAGAGGGAGCTCCAAGGAAAACTAAATCCAAAATGCCTCATCTGGGAGGTGAGGACAGTAAAGTCTCCTCCCATGCCTCCTCACTCTCAAAAGATGATATTTTCTCTATCCAGAATAGACAAATCTATATATAAAGTAGATTTGTGGTTGTCTAGGACTGGAGGTAGGGTATGGGGTATAGGAGGGTGATAACTAAAGATTGCTGAGTTTCTTTTTGGAGTGATGAAAATGTTATAAAATTGACTGTGGTGATAATTACACAACTCAATATACCAAAACCCACTGATTTGTATATTTTCAATGGATGAATTCTATGGTATATGAATTATATCTCAACAAAGCATTTTTAAAATATGTGTTTATCTCATATTTAATCAATATACAAGTATCAGATGGAAATGCTGCTTGACATTATATATTTACTTCATTATTGTCTACCAACCTTAGGTAGAATGTATGCTTAATGTGGATGGAACTTTGCCTGTTTTATTCACCACTGGTACCCCTGAGTCCAAAACAGAGCCTGGCATCTAATAGGTGCTCAAAAAAGATTCCTCGAATGAATGAGCATTTTGACCAAATCATCTGAAGCAAATCCTCTTTGGAAAAAGCATCCTTCCTCCTTTCAAAGATCTGTGGGGGTGACACTGTGTTCCATAAAAGTAGCTTGGAGCAAGCTGCCACAAGTAACCTATGATATCGACATCCATGCAGAAACTTAATTCCCAGCAGCTTTGGGATCCAAACATCACACTGGTGGGCTCCTCTTCCATTTGACACCATCCATTTTAAGCTAGCGGAGTCAGCACCAATTAGTACTCGTTAATCTAATTTTCATGAAACTGGATAAGCAGACACAGAAGTTCACAGAGTAGAACAAATTGCTCAAAACCAGAGCGAAATACCTCTTCTATCTTCTTAGCCTCGTAAGGTATAAGGAGCTCTTCCAACAGCAATTGGAAAGCAGGTAGCAGTTCATGGTCACCTTGTATACAGACTTACTGTCTTATCAGAGGCTTAAGCAATGGGAGGTCACATAATAACAGGCCCTGTTAGGCTGGTGGGGAGCCAGAACACAATAAATGAATTATGGCACCCCTTCCAGTTATATGTATTCTGATGCCTGTTCACAAACACGCGTTCTTTCATTTAGCCTTGAGATGTGAGTAGGAATGGATTCATCTATCCAATGGGTGAGGGCATGAAGGCAAAAGGTGTTGGATGACTCATTTATGAACCCAGAGTTAGCGCAAGAGTCCTTGTAGCAAACTTGCTAAGCCCATGAATTTTAAAATCAGGCCCAAGTTTGAATGCTAATTTTGCCACTATTCTCTGGCCTTAGACTGATAAGTGAATGTCTCCAAGCCCCAGTTTCCTCATCTGCAAATTTAGCAGCATCTACAAATTAACTAGATAATGCATATAATGCGTTTATCACAGGGCTGGCAAAAAAAAAAATATGTTCTTGATAAATGTTAGCTTAAAAAGAAAAACTATCCAGGCTCTTTCTGTCGTATGTTTTGTGAAAAACTTCAATGTACCATGTTTTCCTAATAAATAACCATCTTGGCTGGGCACGGTGGCTCACACCTGTAATCCCAACACTTTGGGAGGCTAAGGCAGGAGGATCACTTGAGGTCAGGTCAGGAATTTGAGACCAGCCTGGGCAACATACTAAGACCCTGTCTCTACAAAAAAAAAAAAAAAAAAAAATTAAAAATTAGCCAGGCACGGTGGTGCACGCTTGTA
Source organism: Homo sapiens (assembly GCF_000001405.40). Taxonomy (NCBI): domain Eukaryota; kingdom Metazoa; phylum Chordata; class Mammalia; order Primates; family Hominidae; genus Homo; species Homo sapiens. Next base: position 88,721 of record NW_019805500.1, on the reverse strand, counting down.
CTCCCAGCAACTCGGGAGGCTGAGGTGGGAGGATCATTTGAGACCGGGCGTTTGAAGGTACAGAGAGATATGAACACACCACTGCACTCCAGCCTGGGCAACAGAGCCAGACCCTGTCTCAAATAAATGAATAAATAAATAACGATCGGCCGCAGTGGCTCACGCCTGTAATCCCAGCACTTTGGGAGGCCAACGCAGGCTAATCACCTGAGGTCAGGAGTTCGAGACCAGCCTGGCCAACATGGTGAAACCCCATCTCTACTAAAAATACAAAAATTAGCCGGGCATGGTGGTACATGCCGATAATCCTAGCTACTCCGGAGGCTGAGGCAGGAGAATTGCTTGAATTCGGGAGGCAGAGGTTGCAGTGAGCCAAGATCGTGCCACTGCACTCCAGCCTGGGCAACAGAGTGAAACTCCATCTCATAAATAAATAAATAACAATCATGAGCCTTCACATTCCTTTCCCAGTCCCTCCTGAATGAACCTCAGCTTAGATGGTAAGGTCTGTATTAAATCTAGAATGCGTGGCATCTATTCATTCAGTGCAGCTTTGTTAAGCACCTACTATATGCCAGGTCGTGGGCTAGGTGCTCACTGTAGTTTTAGAAATAAAAGGCTCTATGCCTACATTCAAGGGGCTTGTAATATTGGATAATATAAGATGAAGGTACAGACACAAAAGGGAGTAAGAAAATGTCAAGTGATGTAATTTCCTGATGCTGACCTGCCCTCATACCTCCCCAGTTACAAATTCTCTAGTCTATTCCATCCTCAACCCTTCCCCCATGGCTCCAGAAAAGCTCACGTTAGCCTAATTTTGCAAACATAAGTCTTCGTAGTTGAGGAGTGCTGGGGTGTATTTATTCAATTTCCCAACTATATAATATTTACTCAGTGCCTACTATGTGTCAGGCACTTTATACTAAGTTCAAAATGGTAACATAACAAATATGGTCCCATTTCTTGAGGTGCTTAGAAACTGGATAGATGAGAGCTGATAATATAATAAGCTTGTAAATAAATATAAAATTGCAACTAGGAAGCAGTGAATGAGAGAATATAATGCTATAAGAATGTATAATCAGGGCACAGGAACTTGTCAGGGAGGTAAGAGAAGTCTTCATGAGAAATAGAGGCTGAATCTGAGCTTTGATACATGGTGAAGGCTTAAACAGCATGCAGGGAAGGGAAGAGCTTCTAGAGTGGAGATAGTCACATGAGCAAAGGCCCTAGTGTGGGAAGAGCCCTGTGCACATGAGGGGCAGAGGAGACACAGCAGCTGGACCACAGGGATGGGAGATAGTGGAAGATGGTGTTACAGTAGACAAGAACCAGACAGTGGTGGACTTGGAAGCCTTGTTAGGATTCTCAGCCACAAAACAATGGGCTACCAGCAAAGATTTGACTGGTGTTGGGGGGTGCTGGGAGGGGATAAGATAACCCTATTGGCGTCTTAAAGTGTAAATGAGCTAAGGAGGCTGGGGGGACAAAAGCAGATTGAGCACGAAGGGAGAGCGGTTGGTGTGGAAGTTGGAGAGAAGGGCAGATCATGCATTACCCTGCAGGCCAGGACTCGGAGCTGGCACTGAAGTCTGTGTTTAGTGAAAAGACTGAACTCTACTGTGCAGAGGACAGGTGGAAGTGAGCAACCCTCCATAGGAATGAGGTGAACAGTTATTCAGCTACCGTGATTGACCAAATGGGACTTGATTGACCAGGATGGGAGAGGAGGAAAGAAGAGATACAGTGGGAATGGGGGGAAATGGTAAAATTCAAGAGCTGCTTAAGACACTGCAGGATTTCCAGACAACTTGCTTGCACCATAGATGTCTCCAGGAATAGATATATGCAGGGCAGTGAGAAACCGGGCAAGTTAAGTTACCTTCCTAGTAGTCAGGAGCTGTCCTTGGAAGAGATTGACCTGGAAAGGTGCCCTTAGGCAGAGATGGCTGCTCTGGCCTCGACATGATACCCTGTAAGGCATGGTTCTTTTTCCAAGGAATCAAGTCACGTGGCTGCTCTCAACAGAATTCTTTAGAGAGAAAGTCTTGCTGTTTGTTATTCCATTGAGGAATCTTGGGCTGAGCTTTGTAGTTGTGGAGTCATCAATAAAATCAGGCAAGAATTCCAAAGGCACCAAGCATGAGCCTGCATTCCTTCAGGTTAGTGAAGATTTCCCTGTTGTAACCACTTCTTCGGTAAGCCTTGGAGATGTTTTTTGAATGAGCCACAATTCTCAAAGGCAATGCAAAGAGTTCCTGTGGGGTAAGATTCTGTTTTCAATTTCAAATAGTCCCCAAGTCCCTTCTGCTTTTCAGCACAAGAAAATATGCCTCTAAGAAACAAAATGTTGGAAAATGCTATTATTTCTACTGAAATTAAAGTCTTAGATTCATTTCCTTTCTAGAGAAATGCAGTAGATTAATTTTCCTTCCTGAGAAAGGTGTTCCTCTAAATGTGGGATTCTCAACTGAAGACAATTCCTCCCCCGCCGCCACCCCACTACCCATGGGACACTTGGCAATGTTTGGAGACATATTTGGTTGTCACGGCTTGGGAGTACTATGGGAATCTAGTGAACAGAAGCTAGGGATGCTGTCAACATCCTATAATTCACAGGACAACCCCTCCTACACACACAAAGAATCATATGACCAGGTATGATAGTAGTGCTGAAGCTAAGAAATTTTGCTCTAAACCTCATCTACATCTGCCTTTATTATGGCACTTGGTATGTTGAATATAGAAATAATATTATTCATATCCTTCAGGTAATGTCAGATGAAAGAATGAATGGGTGGATGGATGAATGGACAGGTGGATGAGTAAGTAATTCAGAATTAGCCAGATGAATAAATAAGTAGATGAATAACGACATTAATTAGTGAATAAATTAAATAAAAGCTAACATGTACTTAGCATTTACAACCTTTGTGCACCATGTTAAGGCCTTCACTTGGGATTGTGTTTCAAGTCTTGCTCAGTGGTCACATTTTCAGTGAGATCTTCCATGATGCTGTCATTAATACCATCAGCTTTTCTATCTCCCTCCATAGTGTTATCCTTGCATATATGAGCAGGGAATTTTTGCCTGTTACATTTACTTCAGTGCCTTCAGCACCAAGGACAGTACTGGACACATAGGGAACCCCAACCCTGAATATTTGTTTACATTAATAACGTGCCTTAATACTTTCAGTGAACCAATGAGAAGGGTACATTTTTTTGTTCGTGCATAACAAAATGAAGAAACTGAAGCCCAGAAATATAATGTAATTTGTCCAAGGACATGCAGCTGTTGAGTGGCAGAGCCAGGATTCCTTCTGACCCTAAAGAACACTCTTAACTGTCAAGTAACATTGCCTCTTTTAAGAATGAATGAGTGCAGGTCAGTTGCCTTAAAGACTTTACTTGACTAAGTTGAAGTTCTAAGCACAACACAACTAGTCCCTAGCCTATCTCCCCAACTCTCAACTCCTTTCCTTCCTAAGGTGAAGCAATGATTGAACAAGGATTGCTGAGCTTTGGCAAGGAAGAAAAGGTATGCCTCCACTAGGCTGGCTCTCTTAGAGGCAGGCCAGACTCAGAGGAATGTGCTAAAGGAGTGATGGACTCCAGTCTCTTTGTTTCAGCTTACAAACTTCAATTGGTTGCTAAGAGACTGTACAAAAGGAGGCCCATTAGAAGCCCTCAGAACCCACATGCAGTTACATAATACCAGGCCCTTTCTTTATACAAATGCAAATAGTGCAAGTGCAAGCCCTGCCTGCAATCTGTGCTGATGTGATAAGGTGATTTCTGTTCGGGTCCCAAGAAATCCTGTCTCATGGGGGATGGGCTGGAGGAACCAAACAGTATGGGAGGGTTCTTCCTTCAGTGCCATTTCCAAAGGACTTAAATATTAACATGCAATCCAATCCCCACTCCACAATAATCAGATTTTACACAATCAGGACCCACAATAATTAATTCAGTGATCCTGCGGTATTATTTTCAACATTGCATTTTTGGCATTTCCAGTCCATAAGCAGGGAGACCACTTATTTTATGGCCCTGACTGCTGGGAAACTATGACGTCTTCTATGCAGGCTGAGTAAGTGTCTCTTACTCCTGGAACTATTTCCTTCTTTGTGCTTATCAAACCTAATTCAAACAAGGGGGCCACTAAAGGGAAGTAAGAAACTTCAGAGAAGCCCTATTTGCTCCACAAGCTACCTTTGGTTGGAATCTCCTGGTCTGGAAAAGAACATGATTCCTGATCAGCACAGAAAGACAGGCTTTACGAGTCACCATTCAAAATGACAAAAGAGGTGTAGCAAGGAAAACTAATCCATAGCTACCTAACCTACAACAATCAAAGGACCTGACATTCAACATATTTTATTCCACAGATACTTATAGAATCTCTACCACCTGCTAAACATATTCAAGAAGATGAAGATTTAATGGTGAACCAGAGAGACAATATCCTCCTCCTCTTAAAGTTTACATTAAGCCAAGAGATAACAAGTATGTAAATGAGACAGGAGGTCAGTAGGACTGGTTTCACAAGATACAGGTCACAAGGACCCCGCGGATAAAACAGGATGCACCACAGAAGCTGGCCAAAACCCACCAATACCAAGATGGTGATGAAAGAAAGAAATGTGATGAAAGTGACCTCTGGTCATCCTCACTGCTCATTATACAGTAATTAAAATGCATTAGCATACCAAAGAAAACTCCCACCAGCGCCATGACAGTTTTCAAATGCCCCGGCAACATCTGGAAGTTACCCTATATGGTCTGAAAGGGGGAGGAACCCTCAATTCCAGCAATTTCCTGCTTTTTCAGAGGTGCTCTAACCAGAGTGACTCCATCTTGAATAGGGGCTAGGTAAAATGAGAATGAGACCTGCTGGGCTGCATTCCCAGGAGGTTAGGCATTCTTAGTCACAGGATGAGATAGGAGGTCAGCAGGACTGGTATCACAAGATACAGGTCATAAAGACCCTGCTGATAAAACAGCATACAGTAAAGAAGCCAGCCAACACTTGCCAAATCCAAGATGGAGACAAAAGTGACCTCTGGTCGTCCCCACTGCTTATACGTGAATTAGAATGCATTAGCATGCTAAAAGACACTCCCACCAGCACTACGACAGCTTACAAATGCCATGACGATGTCTAGAAGTTACCCTAAGTAGTCTGAAAAGGGGAGGAACCCTCAGTTCTAGGAATTCCCTAGTCCTTTCACAAAACTCATGAATAATCCACCCTTTGTTTAGCATATAATCAAGAAATAACCATAAGTATGCTCAGTTGAGCAGCCCATATCACTGCTCTGCCTGTGGAGTAGCCGTCCTTTTGTGCCTTTACTTTCTTAATAAACTTGCTTTCACTTAACTATCTACTGGCTCTTGAATTCCTTCCTGTGTGAAGCCAAGAGCCCATGTGGTCTTCTGGACTGAACCCCAATTTTGGGGTTTGACCTGTGACATAAATAAAAATATCAGCTAACGACAAGGGCTATGGAGATAATAAAGCATGGTGATATAGAGAAGGTGTGAATGATAAACAGGAAGGCTGACCACATCTCAATTCATCCAGGACTATCCTGCTTTAAACCCACCATCCTGGCTGAATTGGAGTAAAAGTCCCCTTTTACCCCTTATAAGTGCTCCAGGTTGAATAATAAATTATATGATCACCTTACAAGTGACTATAGCAGGATGCCTGTCACTCTATAGCTACATGAGACTATAGGTAGGTGGGCAGAGAAGGCCTGAGGAGGTAACAATTTTGCTAAGGCAGAATATGACAATAAACCAGCCACAGGAGGATCCAAAGGAAAGTCCTCCTAGGCTGAAAGAACTTGTAAATGAAAAATAAAATTCTAAGCCCCCCAACCATCTGAACAGATCCCTCCTCTTGGCCAAGGGCAATCCAAAGTTAACTTGAAAAACTAGTTCAGGCCATAATGGAAAGGCCAGTTGGAACTCAGGAAAAGCTGACCAGCATTAACATCAACACCGACCTTAAGTCTGATAAGAAACATTTACAATCTATTCTCCCAGAAGCCTGCTACCTGGAAGCTTCATCTGCATGATACAGCTTTGGTCTCCACAACCCATTATTGTACCCCAGACATTCCTTTGTATTTAGATAATAACTCTTTCAACCAATTGCCAATCAGAAAATCTTTAAGTCTATCTATGACTGGGAAACCTCTGCTTCGAGTTGTCCCACCTTTCCAGATAGAACAAAGGTGCATCTTACATGTATTGATTGATGTCTCATGTCTCCCTAAAATCTATGAACACAACCCGTATCCTGACTACCTTGGGCACATGTCATCAAGATCTCCAGAGGCTGTGTCACAGTGTGTCCTTAACCTTGGCAAAATAAACTTTCTAAATTGATTGAGACCTGTCTCAGATAATTCTGGGTTCACAAATCCAAGTTCAAAGTCTGGAGGGAGAAATGAGTCTCTTACAGAGGAGCAGTGTAGCAGGAACGTGATGAAGAAAAGGAAAAGCACAAGATGAGATTGTAGATATGGGCAGGGATCTGATCACATGAAATCATGAAAATTTGGGTACAGAGTCTAAATTTATTTCTAAGAGGCATGGGGAGCCGCTGGTAGTTTTAAAGAAAGAAGTGACAAAAGTTCAATTTTTAAAAGATGACTATTGCAGCATTATTTATAATAGCAAAGACTTGAAACCAACCCAAATGCCCATCAATGATAGACTGGATAAAGAAAATGTGGCACATATATACCATGGAATACTATGCAGCCATAAAAAGAATGAGTTCATGTCCTTTGCAGGGACACAGACGAAGCTGGAAACCATCATTCTCAGCAAACTAACACAGGAACAGAAAACCAAACACTTCATGTTCTCACTCATAAGTGGGAGTTGAACAATGAGAACACATGGACACAGGGAGGGGAACATCACATACCAGGGCCTGTCGGGGGTGGGGGGAAAGGGGAGGGAGAACATTGAGACAAATACCTAATGCATATGGGGCTTAAAACTTAGATGATGGGTTGATAGGTGCAGCAAACCACCATGGCACATATATACCTATGTAACAAACCTGCACATAATGCACTTAAATTAAAAACAAACCTGCACATTCAGAACTTAAATTTAAAAAAAAATTAAGATGACTCAGCTGCAATGAAGAAAATGGATTTTAAAAAGCCATGAGTCAAAATAGAAAGATCAATTAGGATGTAATTGCCACAGCCAAGATAATGGAAGGTGGAGGAGGAAAGTGGATGTTGGTGGTGGTAGAGATCAGGAAACAGAAATGGACTCAGACTTTTTTTTAGATAGAGCTCACTGCACTTACCAATGAGTTAGATGCACAGAGCATAAGCAAAAGAGAAGAATCCTAAGTTTTGGCTGGGGCAACTTTTGGACTAGGATGCTTGGAGCCCAAGAGTTGAGTGAAGATGAGATTTCCTGCACAGGTTTAACATGAAGCTAGATCGACAGTTTACTGAGGGCTTGTTATTAGCCAGGCACTGCAATGAGCATTGTACACCTGAATCTTATTTAATCCTCACAATTCTCCTAAGGGAAAATGCTAGTATTGCCTCTATTTTACAGGTAAAGGAAAAGGTCAGTTTAATTTCTACACAAGTGATCGAATCTTAATTTTTGCATGAGTGATTAAGTTGTGGTTCAAGGATGAGTGGCAGGATTTGTGTAACATTGAGTCCTAGAGGAAATAGAGCAGAATGTCATGGGGAACAAAAGGAACCTCATTTCACTGAGATCTAAGATTTTTGCTTTGAAGTGATTGATTGCCTTTAATAAACATTTAAGTGGTTAGAAGTAATCATGGGAACTCTTGCAAGACAATACTTTGGAGAAAGTTGAGGAGAGAGGAATAGTCCTTAACTGTACCTTCCTTCAAGACTCTAAAGAACAGGAAACCTAGTCTAAAGTCTCAAATAAGGAATTGAAAGAAACTTAGAAGATAATATAATTCAGGAAAATGGCTTGGAATGAAGGGTTCTGCCTCCTCCAGGCTGGGGCTGGGATCACAGGACTGAATAGAAATTTTTTTTCCCGAAGAACCTTAAATTCTAACTTGAGCCAAATGTTTTCCCTTTGAAATTCCAAGTCCTACGAAAATCCCCCCAACTCTGAAGCAGACACAACACTGATGTGGGAAAAGACTTACATGGACCCATTGCATGAAATAAATCCCACTTGCCACCGGCGAGATCTGATGTCCTGGAGTGTCTACTTTGCCCAGATGGGACTGCCTGTTGCAAACCCAACTGCCAATCTCACCTTCGGAAAGGCTGGCTTTAATCCAAATGCATCATGACCAGTCCAATCTTTCATGACAGCAACATCATTTCTCCCAGGGGCTATGTTTTCCCCCACCATCTGGCAGGAAATTATTTTATTAGCTGAAATACAATGAAGGTTGGGCTTAGGGAGAAGAGGAAAGTGTCCACTGTGGTCTCAGGAAACAAGGGGAGGCTGAATGCTTACTCTGAGACAAATCCTATTAGCAATAACATGGATCCGTGGAAAGATTCCGTTCAACAACTCTGAGGACAGACAGAAATGTGACAGGAGAGACATGCCTAATCTGTCAGGTTTGATGATTAAAAAAAAATGAATTCTTTTTCAATTTTCTAGATGTGGGATCAGTGCCACCATTCTCATTTACTTTTAGCCTCAACGAGAGAGAGGGAGGCGGGAGAGAAAAAAGCCGAGAGCTTGTCAAAGACTGCCCAAAGCAGAGGATGGTTTTCTCTTTGGTTGCTTTATTATTATTATTATTATTATTATTATTATTATTATTATTATTATTTAAATATAGCTGTGGTCTCAGCAGGGAAGATCCTACCTCCCCAGGAGGCGTTTTAGAAATGTATGAGGTTGCTTTTTGTTGCCAAAATGGTAGGAGGGGGTCACTACAGGCATTTAGAGGGTCAGGTCCGTGTGGTAGAGAGGACAACCTCAGCCCATGCAGAATTGCCCCATATCCTAGTTAACTTTCAAATGCCATTCTGGACACTCAGGTAGATGAAAAACCTACTTATAAACTCAATTTTTCCCATAAACACAAAGTTATTTTTCACGGTCTTAATTTACAACGAAACTTCTAGGTCTGGGATTCAATTGTAAATTTCACTTTGTTATTCAGAACCTGACGAGCTGTTGCGCATCAATTCAGAAAACAACACCACTGCTGGCAAAGCCACATATGGTACTATAGTTATCAATAAAACACATCCGCATCAGTGGGCTTCTGTGGCTCTCCCATTTATGGTGATTCCCAATATAGGTACAAGCATCTACCTACCTCAGCATGTCTTCTATGTTCATGGCCAAGTATTTGCATACTAAAATACTTATTTTATATAAATTACTTTCCTTCCACCTCCTTTATAATACCATTAGAGCATTAAATTTTTATGAAATTATGTGTGTCTGTGAGTTATATAATCTATGAATTTTATTTCAGGATACTAAAGAGATGTCACAAAATATTAATTTACCTGTATCAAAATATCATATGCACCACATAAATATGTTCAATTATGATCCACAATAATTTATTTTATTTTATTTATTTTTTTTTTGAGATGGAGTCTCACTCTGTCACCCAGGCTGGAGTGCAGTGGCACCATCTCGGCTCACTGCAACCTCCTTCCCCCAAGTTCAAGTGATTCTCTCGCCTCAGCCTCCCAAGTAATTGGGATTACAGGTGCCTGCCACTGCAACCAGCTAATTTTTTTGTACTTTTAGTAGAGACGGGGTTTCACCACGTTGGCCAGACTAGTCTTGAACTCCTGACCTCATGATCCACCCGCCTCAGCCTCCTAAAGTGCTGGGATTTACAGGTGTGAGCCACCGCGCCCAGCCACAATAATTTAAAATAAACCATTTAATAAATATCAAAAGGAAAAGAAGACATTGTGCCTGAAAGTGTTGAAAATCATAAAAATATCACGAAACATTAATAAAGGACATTGTTGAAGAAAAAAAAATCACCCTAATAACCTATTTCTAGCTTTTCAATATTCCCTCCCAGTATTCTCCCGCACACATGACCACTTCTGAATAGTCACAATTTTAGTTCACATTGTCATATTAACCATTCACACCCACCCTTTGAAAAAACCCATTTTGCGGATGGGAAAACCAAGGCTCAGAGAAGTTATGCATCTTCAGAGAATTTGTGAGTAGCTGAGCCAGGTTCTTACTCTAACTTTCACTCCAAAGTGGGCTGCTCCCCAACCAAAGTCCTTTTTCACAATCACTAGCTTTTGCTGGTATACCAATGACCCTTGGACAATAATGACAAGAACCAACAGTTTTGGAGAAAGAGAAGATGGAGAAGGATATGGCAAAGAGACAGAGGAGAAGTAGAAAAAAGAGAAGAGGGAGAGGAAAGAGGTGGATGATGGGGGGTGGAGAAGGTAAAGGGGGAAGGGAAGAGAAAGAGAAGAAAGGGAGTGATGGAGAGGAAGGAGATGAGTAAGGAAAATGGAGGGGAGGAGACGGAGGGAGAGGATGAAATGGCAAGTTGGGCAGGGAAGGGAAGGACCCAAGACGTGGAATCTAGTTCTGGCACTGCTATTTTAGTGGCCATAAGCAAGTCCATTCTCTCTGTGGCTGCTTTTCCATTTGGGGGATTGAGAATCTAAGTGTCTGCCCAACCAATTGCACAGGTTACAGTAAGGCCAATCAGTGCAAAAGATAGGAGAGCATTCTGGAAAAGTTCAAAGGCCTAATACAAAAACAGAAATGGGGCATGTTGTAGCTTCCGTACGGATACCTTCTAGCTGGAGCCTTCAGCCCTTGGAGCTCGTGTGTGTGTGTGTGTATGTTTGTGTGTGTCCAACGTGTACCTTCTCTCCTGTCCCCACCCACACAGAGGTCATTTCAGAGGAAGTGACTGAAATCCACATCTCACCAAGCAACGCGTAGGCTAGCATTTCTCCCCAGTTCACTTTCATTTCTGTGCTATGAGACAGCCCTGGCCAGATGAGGGAGATGTATGAAGCATTTGTCATTGAGGTCCATTGAATTTTATTAGCAATTTTCTCCTTTGTTAGCAATTTCACATTGCATATTAGCATTTGTTTTCATATCATATTAGCATTCATCACAAAAGGCTAATCCCATTAGCACTTTTCACATTGTATTAGAGAAAACAAATAATCGCATGGTGCCAATGCGTCATTGCAACAAGAATGGCCTTTTCATCTGCTGCTTTTCTGTTTATTCCAGATCTGCCCCACCCCTCTGCAGAGCTGCCTATAAATCGGGGAAAACTCACAGATTCTGACTCTATGAACCATCTGAGCTATTCCAGAATTGGGATTTGCCTTTCCAAAAATTTCCATTCATTCGTGAATGTAGTCAATATTTATGGAGCATATACCTGTACTAGCTGTTTCACTAAATGCTAGGGACACATATCAAACAAGACTGTGAAAAATGGGCAAATAATGTTTTCTGCAACTTTCGGGAATATATAAATAAATTGCAAGAGATTGTTTAAACAAACTTTTTTAGAGCACTTTATAGTTGTTCAATTGTCAACAGCATTGACGTGCCAATTTCAACGCTTTTTTTTCTATCATGATCTGTTCATTATAGCAGGTTAAAAAAAGGTTTTTGTTTTTGTTTGTTTGTTTGTTTTTGAGATGGAGTCTCACTCTGTTGCCCAGGCTGGAGTGCAATGGCGCGATCTCGGCTCACTGCAACCTCCACCTCCCAGGTTCAAGAGATTCCTCTGCCTCAGCCTCCCAAGTAGCTGGGGCTACAGGAATGGGCCATAACACCCAACCAATTTTTGTATTTTTAGTAGAGATGGGTTTCACCACATTGGCCCGGCTGGTCTCGAACTGCTGACCTCAAGTGATCCACCCACTTTGGCCTCCCTAAGTGCTGGGATTACAAGCGTGAGCCACTGCACCTGGCTTAAAGGTTTCTTAATAGTTACTGCTCTAGGCTGGGCGCAGTGGCTCACACCTGTAATCCCAACACTTTGGGAGGCCGAGGCGGGTGGATCATGAGTCAGGAGATCGAGACTGTACTGGCTGGCTAACACGGTGAAATCCCATCTCTACTAAAAATACAAAAAATTAGCCAGGCATGGTGGCGGGGGCCTGTAGCCCCAGCTACTTGGGAGGCTGAGGCAGGAGAATGGCATGAACCCGGGAGGCAGAGCTTGCAGTGAGCTGAGATCGCACCACTGCACTCCAGCCTGGGCGACACAGCGAGACTCCGTCTCAAAAAAAAAAAAAAAAAAAAAAAAAAAGTTACTACACTAGACCTCTAGGGCAACATTCTGTTAGCTTAGTTAGAATGTCTGGTTGGACCTAAAAGAAATAACGTATTTCATAATTCAATATATTTCATAATTCAAAATTTTCCTTAATCTTGATTTGTTTCTGAACAAGTGAGGTGTTTTCAAGATTTTGAGGTTTACAAACGTAGATCTTCAGCACATGCAAAGAAATTGTTTTTGTTAATTTTAAAAATGCCTATTTTTCAGATCATTCTCAAAGTAAAACTGACCACCTCTTATCTAATTAATCTCACAGATTGCTTATTAGGTTCAGATACTGGGATTATCAGCATTTCTGGTAAATCCCTCATTTTCCAAAGGAACAACTTTTGGAAACTTGATCTTTAGTCCTAGGTACCATCTGCAAGTCCCCACAGCTAGGCAGATGACGCGTGAAGATGGGGGAAAAGACTTTGTAAACTGTAAAGCTCTCTGCAAATGTGTAAGACTGTGATTCTGAAGCAAGCTGAAAACTCATGCTCAGGGAAAGCATGAAAAGGGAGAAGAGATCTTAAATATTTTAGTGTCAAGGAAATCTTCAGTTGTCTGGTGAAGCCTAGGGATCTCATCTCAGAAAAAGTGGGTTTTTACTATGCATAAAGTAAAATGCATAGTAACTCAGAAAAAAACCAATTATATTGAACTACAGTTATCACAATATTTTTAAGTTGTGATAAACTAATATATGAGGTTCTTTTAAAAATTTATCATTAAAAATATCTTTAAAAATTCATCATGGAAAACATCCAACATAAAAAGAATAAATAGAATAGTATAATGAACCCATGCACCCATTTCCCACCTTCCACGATCATCAATATCCTACCATTCTTTAAGATGTTGAAATCTCCAATATATGCAAAATTTACATTTACAATACAAATTTGCCCTAGTGTTCTAGTGCAGTAACTGTTAAGAAACCTTTAGAAGATCTGCTATAATAAACAGATTATGATGGAAAAAAGCATTGAAATTGGCATATCAATACTGTTGATGATTGAACAACTATAAAGTGCTCTAAAAAAAGTGTTTAAACATGGCCTTGCAATTTATTTATAGATTCCTGAAACTTGCAGAAAACATCATTTGCCCTTTTTTCATTGTCTTCAACGTAGGGAAAATTTACATGCGAGTCTGCAGTTCTGAACTGAACAATTTTGACAAATGGATATGGTTCTGTAACTCACACTTCTAAAGAAATGGGAAATCTTTCCATCCCCCCAGAAGACTCCTTGTTTCGTTTCTTGCCAAGTGTGCTCCCTCATTAATTTACTAAATAACAAGAACTAATGGTGTGTCTGAAATTAGTGTGAATTTGAAGAAGTGATGAGCATTAATACTATTTTGAGATGTCTCTAGCAACTGTAAAGAGATAATTACTTTTTGTTATCTGTTGATAACAAAATCACAGGTAAATGCTGCTACCACTGGGGTTTGTTGGTTAAATTTATTACATGTGCCAGGTACACTGCTGAGCACTTTGCATATATGTAACTCTGGAAATTACTGATAACTATGTGCACCACTCCCCGTTTTAAAAAATGTGGAAACTGGGGTCAAATTAAGTAATAAGCCCCAGCTCACCGAGCTCATGGGCAGTGCTGCTATTAGGATAGAAACCTAAGAATTTAGAACACCTGGACTCTGATTTGGACTCAGTCATTAGCTATGTGATCACAGTGAGATCCTTCTCTCAGTGTTTGCATTTTTGACTGCCAAAATAGAATTCGTAACACCTCCCTTCTAGAGTCATCATGATGATCCTGACGCTCACTAAAGAGTCTGGTAATTTAGAATTCAACGAAATTGTCTCCAACTCCCAACCAGAATATGACTGGAGCCCCACATCTCTCCGAGGTTCCCTAGAGGGACAGGAAGAGGGGACCTGTGTCTTTCCTCATCACATGTGGCTCCAACTTCCTGGTTTCACTAACACTGTTGGAATGGGGGCTGGGGACTGGAAGAGATTTACTGGAAACTTTAATCAAGGCCTGTTGCCCAAGGAGTAGCCAAAGAAGAGGGTGTACGTGTAGTTTATTTCCTGTAACTTTCTTTTCCTACAACTCAACTGTAGTTTGGGGCAAGGTTTTCAATGGGATAGGTTGAGAGTTAACCCTATGACCTAGAGTTGTTGGTGGCAAGTTCTGAAAGTCTTGGTGTTTAACAAGTTCCTCAGGTGATTTTGATGCACAGACATCTTCTGTGAAATATTCAGAATGGTTTTGGCATGTGTTAGAATTTCTTGCGGGCTTCTCAATGTCTAGCACAGGGCTTTAGGGTTCCCAGTAAGTTATTTTGAGATGGGATGTTTTGTTCACTGATGTAGCCCCAGTGCAGTGCCTGGGACATAGTATGTGCTCAATAATAATTATTATTTTGCTTCAATCGAATGACTGTCCTCTTTGAAGAACTTTATAAAGAGATCACTCATTATTTAAACACAGACAAAGGTAAAGAGAAGCTTGGTTCACAGAGATCATGAAGTTGATGATGATGATGATAGACAGTTACTGAACTAGAATGATTCTGGGGCCCCAATTCTTTACCTCTCTTTGTGTTCACACCCTTACTATAAAAATTTGCAATTACTTCAACAAAAGGGAGGGTATGCTTTCCCAATTCTTGACTTTGGGCTCAACTTCGTGACTTGCTTTGGCCAATGGGATATTAGCAGATATGACATGGGATAGATTTGAAATGCACTTATGTGGTTGGGCATACCCTCTAGTGACTAACATCATCACCGTGAGAAGCACTTTCCCTTCAGCCTGAGTCCCAGAATAATCACAGAGTCATCCTATCCTGCAGCAAAGTAGATGCTTATTCACTGCATGCCACTAAGATTGTGTGGGTGTTTGTTATGCAGCACTGACCAACTCATGATGGTGATGGCAGTGACTTTAATAAATATATCCACCTCCATTTTTACAGAGTAAGTTTTAGTAACACAGAGGAGACACAAACTACAAGGGTCCTGGGTTGTGAGGTCTGACTTGGCTTAAATCCAGGCTCTACAACTTACTGTGAGATTAGGACTCGTCATCCCAATGTCCTCATCTCTAAAATAAGAATAGTGTTTATCTTACAATGTAGTGATGAAGAATACATGAGACGATGCCTATTGGGTGCCTGATGCAGAGTAAGCACTCAACAAAACCAGAAGGCAGGGAGGGAGGGAGGGAAAAAAGGAAGGAGGGAGGGAAGGGGGGGAAAAGCAAAGGGGGAGGGAGGTAAAAAAGGAAGAAGGGAGGGAGGAAGAAAGGGAGGGCCAACAAGAGAAAAGGGGAGGGGAGGGGAGTGGAGGGGAGGGGAAGAGAGGGGAGGAAAGGGGAGGGGAAGGGAGGGGAGGAAAGGGGAGGGGAAGGGAGGGGAGGGGAAGGGGAGGGGATGGGAGGAAAGGGGAGGGGAGGGGATGGGAGGAGAGGGGATGGGAGGAGAGGGGAGGGGAGGTGATGGGAGGAGAGGGGAGGGGAGGGGAGGGGACGGGAGGGGAGGAGCGGGGAGGGGAGGAGCGGGGAGGAGAGGGGAGGGGAGGAACGTGGAGGGGAGGAGCGGGGAGGAGCGTGGAGGGGAGGAGCGGGGAGAGGAGAGGAGAGGAGAGGAGAGGGGAGAGGAGAGGGGAGAGGAGAGGAGAGAGGAGAGGGGAGGGGAGGGAAGGGCAGAGGAGGGGAAAGAGGGGAGAAAAGAAAACATTTTTATGCAAACAGAAAGTTCACCTGCAATTGAGGGCAAAAGTTCACAGCTCACACTTCACCTCCTCTCAGCTCTGTTCACCCAGCCTAGACTCTAAGAAGAATGCCATGCCTTTCTCCCTGCGCCTCCCGAGGCACCCAGCATTTCCAGGAGTCCCACGCCAGGTGTTTCATGCTTTCACAAGGCTCTCTTCCTTTAAAACCTGTTGCCACAGGAATAGAGCTTCCGTACTCACAGTACTGGCAAAAGACCGGCAGAAAGAATAAAGAGGGGAGAAATCCACCCTCCTGTATTCTCGCTGGGAAATTACCCTTAGCCTTTGATATATTAAAATTGAAGAGCTGTAAATGCCGGTTGCCATGGCGACGTTTTGCATGCCATCCTGCGATTGGTGGCGTAAGTTCACTTTCCTTGGGGTGTTGCAGCCTAATTAGCTGTTATTTTTGTCAGTGTGGAGGAACAGCCCACACTTGCGGTTTTTGGCGGTGATTGCAGCCCCTGCAGACTCAGTTAATTTTCACAGACTACAAAGAGAGAAATGACTGGGCCCCAGTCAAATTTATAGTCTCGGAAAAGTTGCCAATGTTTAACTAAGAGTCAGAGAAAATGTTAGAGTACTCCTCAACTACTCTGGCAATTTCGGGGTCTCTAGCAATCGCAAAACTTATTGGGGTTGGATTGGGGATAAAATAAGCAGTAGGGCCCGGCACAGTGGCTCACGCCTGTAATCCCAGCATTTTGGGAGGCTGAGGTGGGCGGATCACAAGGTCAGGAGTTCGAGATCAGCCTGACCAACATGATGAAACCCTGTCTCTACTAAAAATACAAAGATTAGCCAGGCATGGTGGTGAGCGCCTGTAGTCCCAGCTATTCAGGAGGCTGAGGCAAGAGAATCACTTGAACCCGGGAGGCGGAGGCTGCAGTGAGCTGAGATCACACCACTGCGCTCCAGCCTGGGCAATAGAATGAGACTCTGTACCAAAACAAATAAATAAAATAAAATAAGCAGTAGTTAACCCAACCCCAGACTCAGTCCTTTGTTCCTGGTTCCAGCTACCTCTGCCTCTCCCGCCAGACATGCGAGCACTTGTGAGTCTGTCCTCGCTGGAATGTTTAGCGTTGCACCGCCATCTCCTAGATGTGGGTACTACACACTAACAGTATTCAAGCAAGGCTAGCAGGGACATGTGAACGCCATTTATTTGATCCACTTCTCTATCTCCACACCCAAAGATGACATAATTATGCCAGCCCACTTGGTAGATCCAGCCAATTCCCTAAAGACCTCCAGGAAAGGAATTCCATGTTGCCACAAGCCTGAAAACCAGAAAGCTGTCTTGCTGCAATTCAAACCAATTTGTTTGCAATTTTGATTATTAAATGGTCTGAAGTTAACTTTGTATTATAATATGAATTGTTCAACTCAAATTCTTTCTCAATTTTTTTTTAAACTATCTACCATGTGTTTTTGAGAACTGAAGGATTCCTTCTCTCTAGGAAAGAGAGAAGCAGATTTTGCTTTGCTAATAATTTGGGTTTCATTTTTATGACTAAGCTAAGCCCTTCCTGAGGGACTGGTAGTGGGGAGAAATTGACGTGTGTGTGTGCGTGTGTGTGTGTTGAGGGCTCAAGAACATAAAGGATATGGAAGAAACTTGAGGTTAATTTAAAAAGAGGGGAAAAGTAGAAAAAACACTGGATAAAGGCCCTAGATGCCTTGAACCTAATCCCAAAAAGCTGTCTTCAGAGGTATAATGGGCACTGTAAAATCCCTCTTTATCACTCTGCTTCTCTGTGTACCCTTCTTTTGTTTGAAGCGTTTACCCACGTTGTGGCAGAAGCTTAAAACTTTCTTTCCTAGAAGCTTTTGCAGAGAGGGCAGAGGCGTGTGGCCTAGGGTCCACCATTCAGTCATATCTGTGTGAGACTTTTCCTCTAGTTCCCACACAGAATCTATCCCAGAGAGAGGAGCAGTAGGAATGTCCAGCTTCCAGAGATAACAAAGGCAGAGATCCCTGCAATAGCATCCCATACCCAGTGCTGGTTCCCAGAATGCAGTTCCTGGCCCAAGATATCAGTAGTGGGAATTCCACCAGCACAGGGCTTCAGCGATGTCCCTGAATCCACGGCCTCTAAGCCAGGTTTCTCTGGAGATTCTCTGAGTGTCTGCAACAAATATCCTTTAGTAAGAATCTATATGTGTGTGTGTGTGTGTGTGTGTACAAGCATACATGTGTGTGTGTATGAGAGAGAATAGAGAGATTACCAGTGGTTATGGTTTTAAGTAGATGAAACCAGCCCAAGGAGTTCCCTAGAAAGAGAATACACATCAGTTCCCTCATGACCCAGGGTTCCAGCTCTTATCCAAGAGACCACGTTTGGGATTATTTTTGACTTCATAACCAACCAAGTGTTATTCTGCCACCATGACTCAAACTAACAGTTAAACTGAATTTGATGAAGGCTTGCTTCTTGGGGATAAGGATTTTCTGGCATTCCTGGAACTTGAGTTTAGCCTTGAGTTGGGTTCAATTATATGCTCCTTGTCCCAGACTTGATGACTTGACTGATTGGACCCAAGGCTCTCCCAGCACCCTGCATGTCTGTCTGTGTCTATCAGCTCTTGCATAAGGCAGATTCTGTTGATGTGTATGGTGCAAGAGGGATGGAATAATGCACTTGATGGGAATGCCCCGCCATCATACTTTGCCCATTGTGAGTAACTTGAGCGTAGACAACTTTCAGCTTCAGAGGAGAGCTGCTCATGTGTGTCAGCCACACACAGGCACAGAGACAGAACACACCCTTCTGCTGTCTTCCAACTGAGATCTAAGATGCAGCAGATGACTTGGCAGAAATGGAACTTGGGTCTTCTTTTTTCTTTTTTTTTTTTTTTTTTTTGAGATGGAGTTTCGCTCTTGTTGCCCTGGCTGGAGTACAATGGCACAATCTCGCTCACTGCAACCTCTGCCTCCCAGGTTCAAGCGATTCTCTTGCCTCAGCCTCTTGAGTAGCTGGGGTTACAGGTGCCCACCACCACTATGCCCAGCTAATTTTTGTATTTTTAGTACAGATGGGGTTTCACCATGTTGGCCAGGCTGGTCTCGAACTCCTGAGCTCAGGTGATCCACCTGCCTCAACCTCGCGAAGTGCTGGGATTACAGGCATGAGCCACCGTACCCGGCCTGGGACTTGGGTCTTCTTAAAGCATCAGTAACACTGGACAAGGTCATAGCCGATAGTGGTAATAGGCTCTGTGGTAGCCCAAAGGGAAGCTGTAAGCAACTCATTTCCTCATTAAACTAGCAAGTGATTACTGTTGCTGCCAGCTAAGAACACTAACTGATGCAGAAGGGCTTAGCTGCCTATTTTTGTAAATAAAGTTTTATTGAAACACATGCTCATTCATTTGCATTGTGTGTATAGCTGCTTTTGCATGACAACGAAAGAGTAGTTGCTCCAGGAGCCTAAAATATTCACTTTCAGGCTCTGTATTAGTCCATTTTGCATTGCTATAAAGGAATACCTGAGGCTGGGCAATTTATAAAGAAAAGAGGTGTATTCAGCTCATGGTTCTGCAGGCTGTACAAGAAGCCTGGCACCAGCCTCTGCTTCTGGTGAGGCCTCAGGAAGCTTTTACCATGCAGGAAGGCAAAGAGGGAACAGGCAAGTCATACGGTGAGACAGAGAGCAAGAGAGGGAGAGGAGGGGTGCCATGCTCTTTTTAACAATCAGATCTTTCATGAACTAATAGAGTTAGAACTCACTCAATGCAGGGACTACACCACGCCATTCATGAGGGACCCCTATGACCAAAACACCTCCCACTAGGTCCCACCTACAACACTGGGGATCGCATTTCAAAACGAGGAGACAAATATCCAAACTACAACAGGCTCTTTACAGAGAAAGTTTGTTGACCCCTGGTCTAGGGCATTGCCACTCAAAGTGTGGTCCCAAGCATAGCAACGGCAGCATGTAGAAGCTTATCAGAAGCGCAATGGGTCACACTCCATCCCAGATGTACTGAATCAGAATCTCTTTGGGGAGTAGGGGGTGAGAAGTGTGTGCATTAACAAGCTCTCTAGGTGATACATAAGCACACTCATGTTTGAGAAGCCCTGGGTTAGAAAGTGTGTCCTTCATACTGTATGGGAATCTGTCAACTTAGAGAAAACATGATGTTTCTAGGTTTTGCCTGAAACTACCCAAAACAAATCTAGTTCTTGCTTCCCTGATGGTCCCCAAGGGACCTGAAGGTGCTTCTTTTTCTTGGAGAGTCTTTACATTCTCCCTGATAAATAGACTCCCACAAAGGTTCTCCATCCATCCCTCCATCACTTTAATCTGGTTTCCTAAGATAGATACTTCAGTTTATCAGTGTTCCTCTCACTGGTGTTGCCTGAACTCTAAACCATAAAATACTTTTGCGGGACCACCGTTACGGCACTGTCTGGTGGTAAGTAAGTAGCAGAGTGCTTAACTACTGGGACCTCGGAATCAGACCGGTGGATTTATACCCTGGCCTTGCCCTATTAGAGGTATGTGACCTTGGCCAAGTTACTTAATCTCTTCCAGCCTATAAAAGGAGCATAATAATAACATCCCCGTTCATGGGACCATTATGAGAGTTAAATGAGATAATGCACAAGCATCTAGCTCTTGATAAATGTTCAAAGAGTGTTATTATTATTAACCAGTGGCCCATCACAAACATTGAGCCTGTTTAGTTACAGCTTTGTGGCAGCCAAAAAGGATGCAGTAAATGGTAGGCTGCCTTTGTACACAAGCCTTGTCTATGGTCATACCATCATGAAGGAAACCATCAGTTCTCTGTGTGCCCAGAAGGCTGTTTCCTTTCTATGACTTAAGTTTTCACTCATAATTACCTTTCCCTGGTTGTCATTCAGCATTTCAGTTCCATTTGACAGCTCAACAATTATTAAGTGCCTACTGTGTGTCAGGCACCACACCAAGCACCAGGTGGAGGTAACCAGAGGACTTTATTCTTGAGACTGTCTCAGTGTAGATCAATGGTTAGAAAAGGGGCCTTTGTAAAAACAACAACGGGTCAGGTGCGGTGGCTCACGCCTGTAATCCCAGCACTTTGGGAGGCCAAGGTGGGTGGATCACCTGAGGTCAGGATTTCGAGACCAGCCTGGCCCATATGGTGAAACCCCGTCTTTCCTACAAGTACAAAAATTACCCAGGCATGGTGGCAGGCACCTGTAATCCCAGCTACTCGGGAGGCTGAGACAGAAGAATTGCTTGAACCCAGGAGGCAGAGGTTGCATTGAGTGGAGATCACACCACTGCACTCCACCCTGGGGGACAGAGTGAGACTCCACCTCAAAAACAAAACAAAACAAAACAAAAACAAAACAAAAAACAAAACAAAACAACAAGGTCTTACGGAAAAATGCAGAAATGGGTGACGAATGACAGAATGCTCTGGTGGAAACCAGGAGAGAGTGTGAGCTCTACCCATTGAGCTTCCTTCTGAACCCCAACCTCATTCTTTGCAGAGAATCCTGAGGAACCCTCCCACAGCCGTAAGTATCTGTAGGACAAAAGTGGAAGACCACTGCTGTATGGTCTGCAGGGTATGGGATGTGGGAATAAGACAGGACTGTTTTTTATTTTTTTTATTTTTTAAACAGAGTCTTCCTCTGTCGCCCAGGCTGGAGTGCAGTGGTGCGATCTCGGCTCACTGCAACCTCTGCCTCCCGGGTTCAAACGATTCTCCTGCTTCAGCCTCCTGGGTAGCTGGGATTATAGATGCCTGCCACCAAGAACTGGGCTTTTAAAGCATTTCTTCCTAAGTGTTCTCTCTCTTGAGTTGAAGGGAACCCTTTCGGATTCTTCTCCACTTCTGTGTTTCTGTTTGCGAGCAAACTTACCTGAAAGGATTCTTTTGTATTTCCCTCCTTTTAATTTTTTAGAGACAGGGTCTTGCTCTGTCATCCAGGCTAGGGCACAGTGGCACAATCACAGCTCACTTTAGGCTTTAACTCCTGAAGACAAATAATCCTCCTGCCTCAGTCTCTCCAGTAGCTGGGACAACAAGCACCACCACATCTGGCTTTTTTTTTTTTTTTTTTTTGGAGAGATGGGGGTCTCACTATATTGCTCAGGCTGGTCTCAAACTCCTGGCCTCCAAAAGTACTGGGATTACAGGTGTGAGCCACCACACCTGGCCTGTTTTTCTCTTATCTTCCATTCCCTTCTGTGTCTCTTCCTAATACATTCTCCTACAACCCCCAGAGCCCAGAGGAGTTGAGAGGCAGGGAAGCTTCACAAGTCCAGTGGACATGTGTTGGGGGCATTTCTTCCCGCTTCCGCTCACAACACCTTAGTCATCCTGACAAGTACCGGGACCTTTCTCCTATTCTCAGACTACCATATTCAGATGGTGGTAACTTCGTTCACAACTCCAGGAAGGGGCATGTGACTACCTGGCCAATCAGAGCACCCCACATCCCCTGCCTCGGCTCAGTGATTGGTTTAGTTATGGGGAGGTGCTCCATTCAGAGATGGGACTACTGGGAGATAAGCAGAAGCTTTTCTTGGGGGCTGGAGTGGTGAGGGTACAAGCCTGACTGTCCCAGACTGTGGTGCAGAAGGGATCTACGTCCCAGACAAGCACATCCTCTGGGCTTTGTCACCACCTCATCCCACAGGGTGGGAGGCAGCTGGAGGAAGCCAGGGAACCTGACTGTCCAGTTCCAAGCAAGGTCCTTCACCAGGGTTCCACTCGATCAATATTTGTACAAACATTCTTAAAAAGACATGCCTCCTTAGCATTAAATATATCCAGTTTAGGAATGACAGGAGTGGCCTCTGAAGTCAAGCAGAACTGGTTTCCACTACTCCCGCCTCTGCCATCACAGGCTCTGTGAATTCAGGCAAGTCACTTTATGTCTTAGAGCCTCAGTTTTATCATCAGCAAATCAGGGTAGCATTTTTGTCATAGGTTGTTGTGAGAATTTAATGAGGTCATGAAAGTAATGTGCTTTACCATAACACCTGATTTTACATAAAATGATTAGTTAACATTTTAAAATACATTATTAGCTAAGAAAGAAAAGAAATAGAGAAGAAAAGAGAAGAGAAGAGAAGAGAAGAGAAGAGAGAGATCAAAAGTAGATATCCAGGCTCTAGTACAGTATGAATTTTCCACAGGCTTTTGGTGAATGCTGTAGTAGGTAGGAGAATGCGCAGCCAGTTTATTCTAGCATTTAGAAAGAAAAGGGATTGGGAGATGGGGGACAGTGATGACAGAAATACAGAACTTTAAGAAATGGCTTAAGACCTAGTCTTAAAAGAGCTGCCATTCCTTGACAGTAGCCATTTTACGCTTGACTGTCAGCTTTGACAAGCTGGAAGAGGCCAGTCTTTGCAGCCAGGCAGACAGTGTTGCTATCATATTATCATGCTATAAATTAGTATTTCAACATGAAACCGGTATTGAAATGCAGCTGAAATCAATTCTACCACTCCCTCTTCAGCCTTGTCTTGCAGTTACTGCCCTCTGATTCTTATTGAGCAACCAATGAACCCAACTGGCCTACCCTCCGTTTTTGTTGTCAGCAGGAGAAAAAAATAGGGAGGATTCTGTTGATTCTCAAATAATAACTCAAAACAATGGTATTGCTTGTGCCAGTGACTGGCTTTTTGTTGTTGCCGCTGTTGTTTTATTCTTGGTCATTGTTATTGGCTTCTATAGTAGACTCAAACAGTGTCTGAAATCTCACCCCCTTTTATTTCTCCTCTGCTTTGAAGGGAACCGCTATGCACAGCCCACCAGTGGGAGATCCCCTCCTTCCCCTATCATTTTATGCTACATTACAACAGAAGTTGCATGACTCCAAAGGATGCTTTTGACTTTAAAGTTCTTGTGATCTATTTGTGCAATACACATGTTAAATTAGAAATTCATTTGTCACTCCCAGATAATAATGTTCAGAATGGCGCTTCCTGCATGAATCATTATCTTCGGCCTGGAGTTGTTCTAATTATGAATATGCATGAACCCATAGAGAGGGGAAGAGAGACTTGCACAACCTGTTTCGTGGAGGAGCTTCAGATGGTTCAGCTTAATGTTCTGAGTTCGGGCTTCCAGAGCCAAGCCCAGTGTCTGCCTCACCACCCACAGCTCCTCCAGTCTTCCCAGAACACCTGCTTTCTGTTGACAGCAAGTGCCCTGTGACAGCAGGGAGCCCACGCAGTCAGAAATACGCCACTGCTTGTCCATTCATGGGATGTAAGGTAGACTCTGGGATGTAGAAGAGGGTCAGGAGGCAGCGGAAATGGAAGTGGCCTCACAGTGTCCTTCAGAAATTCCAGCTGGAGAACGGAGAAACCATGTGGAGATGCCTGCTGGCTCTGCCTTCAGGAAGCAGAAATTAGAATAAGCAGTCTAAAGAGTGATTAATTTCAAAGAGACAAATGTGTAAGCTGGCTGTGGTTATGGTGACTGAAGAAAGCTATCCCCATATGAGTGGCTGAATGTCAAATAAAGGAAAAGTGAGAACGTGTCGCTGTAACCGGAGCTTCCCTGGAATGCCATGACGGCTTGGCCACACCTGGATGATGTCATGGACGTAGGTCCCTTTCACAAAATG
This sequence comes from Homo sapiens, assembly GCF_000001405.40. Taxonomy (NCBI): domain Eukaryota; kingdom Metazoa; phylum Chordata; class Mammalia; order Primates; family Hominidae; genus Homo; species Homo sapiens. Next base: position 64,079 of record NW_019805500.1, on the reverse strand, counting down.
TAGGGTCCAGTCTCTAAGGCAGAATTTGTTTCCTGCTGTAAAGAATGATTCTTCAGAATATCTCATTCTCTTTGGATGGGTTTCATATTAGATCAAGGAATCTAGATGCTAACGCTCTCCTGTAGCCCTCTGCCACAAGATCATATTTGTTTATCAGCTACTCTGATCCAGGCACAGTGCCAGATATAATTACTCAAAGAAGATGATGTTCTTGCAATATATGAATGCCTCCACTCCCCAGTCAGAGAATCTATTGCTTTGGGAAGGATTGGGATAGTTGCAGCAGAAACACAAAGAGAATGGAGCAATGTCTACTTTTTGATTTCCAAAATAGGCTGTCAATGTCATCATGAGACAATAGTCCAGGCTTTCTTGAGAGAGAAAGGTATATTTCTAAATTCTAAAGCAACCCTTAGAGTTCTGAGCATAGAGACTTTCTACAAGGTGTAGGATAGAGATGATATAGAAGAAGGCAATAGGTCCTACCTGTTACAAAGAAGATAAGTAGTTCCAACCCTGGGTAAGGGGTGGGAGTCCAAAGGGGGAAAACCACAGGAGAAAGAAATTTTGAGGCTGGGCACAGCGGCTGTCACTTGTAATCCCAGCACTTTGGGGGCTGAGGCGGGTGGATCACCTGAGGTCAGGAGTTCAAGAACAGCCTAGCCAACATGGCAAAACCACATCTCTACTAAAAATACAAAAAAATTAGCTGGGCATGGTGGCATGTGCCTGTAGTCCCAGCTACTTGGAAGGCTGAGACACAAGAATTGCTTGAACCTAGGAGGCGGAGGTTGCATTGAGCCAAGATCACGCCATTGCACTCCAGCCTGGGTGACAGAGTAAGACTCCGATTAAAAAAAAAAAGACATTTTGAGAAAGAAAGATGAAGATACTGCTGGGTCCCTCAACCTGAAGTTGGAAACCCCAAATGGTATGACAGAAAGCTGGAATCCAAAAAGAAACTCCTTGCAACATTCCCCAAGCTGGTATGGAATGGCACTGGTCAGACAGCCATGGCTGAGGGACCTCACTGAGTCCCACCTGCTACAGCCTGGTACAGAAAGCCAGGGCTGTCACATACAGCCACATAGGATATGTCCTGCACAACCCTGGACTCCACCACAAAGACCAAAGGCCAGCAAACTTTTTCTGCAAAGGGCCAGACAGTAAATATTTCAGCCTTGCGGGCTATATAACCTTTGTCACCACGATCAACTCTGCCACTGTACTGCAAAAGCAGCCATAGACAATATGTAACTGAGTGGGTGTAGTTCTGTTCCAATAAAACTTTATTTACAAAGTCATGTGACAAGCAACCTTTGGGCCAATGTTTGCCAACCCCAAACATACATTAGGATGTTATGGTGTCTCCCCAACATAGCCATCCTGCAGAAAAACCTAACAAGATTCCCTGCCTCCTTCCTTTTAGAGGGGCTCAGAATTTCTGAGAGAATTGATAGAGCAGAAGAGGCCTGGCTTAGGGTGAGGAGATCACAGAATGAGGTAACCTTAGGACCAGAGCCAATGGCAGAGATCTATAATGTCAGCAGGGGCGATCAGTAACATGCTCAAAAAATATCAGGAAGGAGCAGTTTCTCTGCAGTGGACACCAGTGCAGGGCACTCAGGGTCAAATTGAGACTCAGAATTCTGCAGCAGAGGCCAGAAAGGACGATGTCCAGCACACGGACAGAAACAAACTGTTTTACGAGCTCAGATGTCACCTTCAAGAGACAAAGGAGAAAGAGACCTAGAGAAAGGAAATAATCCTGTGAAAGAATTTGAATGTTTGATTCTTTGCCAAGAATAAATTTACAATGGAAAAAATTATGTAAAACCAGTTTCTCTTGTATATCTGTCCCAGGCAGCAGCAGGAATGGAAACTTAGGGCAAGACAAGATATGTGATGGAAAATTAAAGAAGTCACACAGACCCCTGTTCATCTGATGTCTAGTGAGGATATTCCAAATCTCCTGCATGTGGGGGCTAGTCTAGGGCTTCAAGGGATCCCAGTGCAGTGTATTCCTGCCAGGAAAGGCTAGAACTCTGGCCTTTTTGTGCAAGGCCAATGCTTTTTTATAAGAAGTTTTTATTGTGGTAAAAATATCCTACAAGCTGTACCATATCCTACAAGCTGTAGGATAGAGATGATATCGAAGAAGGATATAGGTCCTCCCCTCTTTTCCCTGTAGGAGGCCGCAGGGGAAAACCACAAGGGAGAGGGAAAAACACATAAAATATAGTTTACCAGCATAACCATTGAAGTATTAAATACCTTAATTTAATTAACCATTGTACAGTTCAGAAGTATTAAATACCTTAATAGGCTGGCCGCGGTGGCTCAGGCCTGTAATCCCAGAACTTTGGGAGGTCAAGGCTTGAGCCCAGGAATTCAAGACCAGCCTAGTCAACATGGCGAAACCCCGTCACTACTAAAAATATAAAAATTATCCAGGCGTGGTGGTGCATGCCTGTAATCCCAGCTACATGGGGGGGCTGAGGTGGGAGGATCGCTGGAGCCTGAGAGGTTGAGGCTGCAGTGAGCCGAGACTGTACCACTGCACTCCAGCCTGGGAGACAGAGCAAGGCCCTGTCTTAAAAAAAAAAAAAAAAAAAAAAAGAAAGCATTAATTTAATAATATGCAGCCATCATACCATCCATCTCACTAACTCTTTTCATCTTGTAAAACTAAGAAAAACTCTACACCTGTTAAAAAGTAACTCCCCATTTCCCCTTCCCCAAGCCCCTGGAAACCATCATTCTGCTTTCTATCTGTATGCATGTAACTGTTCTAAGTACTTCATGTATGTGAACTCATACAGCATTTGTTCTCTGATGACTGGCCTATTTCCCTTAGCATAATGTCCTCAGGGTTTATTCATGTTGCAGCGTTGTGTGAGAAGTTCCTTCCTGGCTGGGCATGGTGGCTCATGCCTGTAATCCCAGCACTTTGGGAGGTTGAGCCAAGAGGATTGCTTGAACCCAGGAGTTCAAGACCAGCCTGAGCAACATAGTGACACCTCATCTCTACAAACAAACAAACAAACAAACTTTTTGTTTTAAAGTTACCCAGGCATGCACCCATAGTCACAGCTACTTGGGAGGCTGAGGAGGGAGGATTGGTTGACCTTGGGAGCTGAAAGCTGCAGAAAGCTATGATCGTACCACTGCGCTCCAGCCTAGGTGACAGAGTGAGACTCTGTCTTCAAAAAATAAGAAAGAAAGAAAAAGAAGTTCCTTCTTTTTAAAGGCAGACTAATATTCCCTTGTATGTGTATACTACATTTTGTTTATCTGTTCATCCATCCAGGGACACTTAGGTTGCTTCCAAGCTTTAGCTCTTGTAAATAAGGCTGCTGCTTTTCAGAGCAGCAGGCATCACTACACTGGAGAAGGCCAAAGTTGTCATGTTTGGCATCATGACGGTCTTTACTACATGTACTGGCCTGGAATGTTCTATTTTGCGTTTTTATTTTTCCATAGCAAGCCCTGGAGTGGCACTCGGTCTAACTGGAGAGAGAAATGAATAGAGATTATTAGAGTCCAAGTTGGGAAGAAGCCCATCAGAAATACTATAAAATGTCATGTGGGTTCAAAGGGAGCACATAGGAGGAGAAACTCCATTTGCCAGGTGAAATTAGGTTTCAAGACAGAAGGAGCATTCTTTCCTTTTTTTTTTTGTTTTTTGAGACAAAGTTTTGCCCTTGATGCCCAGGCTTCAGTGCAATGGCAGAGTCTTGGCTCACTGCAACCTCTGCCTCCCAGGTTCAAGTGATTCTCCTGCCTCAGCCTCCCAAGTAACTGGGATTACAGGTGTGTGCCACCACGCCCGGCTAATTTTGTATTTTTAGTAGAGACGGGGTTTCTTTATGTTAGTCAGGCTGGTCTTGAACTCCTGAACTCAAGTGATCCGCCCGCCTCAGCCTCCCAAAGTGCTGGGATTATAGGCGTGAGCCACCGCGCCTGGCTCACGTCTGTTTGTTAGAAATGCAGAATCTCACGTCTCACCCCAGACCTGCTAAATCAGAATCATCTTAATCAGTTCCCCAGGGGTTCTGGCAAAACAAAAATGAGACTGGAACTCTACAATGAGGTAAAGAGCCTGGTGCTCTTGGGCTGCTAAAAAGCTTCAATAACCCAGATGGAAGCAGCTGAAAGGCCACTGAGCCACGCCTATCAGGGCTGCCAGAGCCCGAGCTTATCACAACCTTTTCAGGACATAATCAAACTAAGAGTCCCCTGAGGTACCAATGCACAAACTATGGAAATCAGATTTTCCTCTAAATCAAACCTTACAAAGTGTTTAAAATAGACTTAGAAATGCCAGAGAATCCCAGCTGCTAAGAAAAATGATAAAATGCCAAGCCAAAGAGGAAGCTGTCAAAGGGAGAACAAGATCTAAAAAAGACACACTCAAGAACAAGAGACAGAAAGAGATTGAGGGATGGGGAACAGGAGAGATAGCCGAGGCAGGTGGATTGCTTGAGCTCAGGAATTTGAGACCAGCCTGGGCAACATGGCGAAACCATGTCTCTACAAAAACATAGAAAAAAATTAGCCAGGGCCAGGTGCGGTGGCTCATGCCTGTAATCCCAGCACTTTGCGATGCCGAGACAGGCGGATCACGAGGTCACGAGATCGAGACTGTCCTGGCTAACACGGTGAAACCCCGTCTGTACTAAAAATACAAAGAAATTAGCCGGGCATGGTGGCAGGCGCCTGTAGTCCCAGCTACTGGGGAGGCTGAGGCAGGAGAATAGTGTGAACCCAGGAGGCGGAGCTTGCAGTGAGCCGAGATCGCGCCACTGCACTCCAGGCTGGGCGACAGAGCGAGACTCCGTCTCAAAAAAAAAAAAAAAGAGAGAAAAAAGAAAAAAGAAAAAATTAGCCAGGCGTGGTGGTGCGTACCTGTGGGCCCAGCTACTCAGGAGGCTGAGATAGGAAGACTACTTGAGCCCGAGAGGCAGAGGTTGCAGTGAACAGAGATTGTGCCACTGCACTCTAGCATGGGCAACAGAGCCAGAGCCTGTCTCAAAAAAGTGTCCCTCTCCATTTCCATGCCAATGGAAGACATCACTAATCAATCAAAGCATTCTTTCCTACTAATCCCAAATGTGACCTCAGAATCTTTTTAAACACCAATATAACATAGACTGGTTTTTAACACCAATGTAACAGACTCTGCCACTCAGAGTTGGCTGATTGATTTCCATCATGCAGACCCGAACACAAACTAGTAAAATTGATTATCTTGGGTGTAAAATAATACTTTTACACGCTATACGAATTCACGAATTCATGAACAGGTCCCTAGGGGAGCGATGCCAGCAAGATGGCAGAATAGAACTTTCTGGTTCTCATCCCCTCACAGAAACATCAGTTTAAACAACAATCTATGCATAAAAATACCTTCACAAGAGCTAAGAGATTCAAGTGAGAGATTACAGCACCTAGGTGTAGCACACAAATAAGAAAAAAAAATGCACTGAAGAAGGTAATAAGGACAGTTTCACATTATCCACACCACCGCTTCCCAACCCCAGCACAGTGCAGAGACACGTGTGCTCCCTGTGGGGGAAGGAGAGTGAAGTGAACATGTGAATTCACCACAGACCCAAACATCAGGCCTGTGCCAGTGAAACCTGGCACCAGGTCAGCCCCATGGCCTTGAGCCCCAGGCCAGTACCCATAGATCAAGCCTCCAGGCCCACCCCAGCACCAGGTCAGCCCTCATAATCCCATGGATCTAGGCCTACCTACCCTGGCAGACTCAGGCTCCAGGCTTGCCCCAGCCTGGGGACCAAGCCCTAGTTCCAGAGAATCCCCTATAGTTCCAAGCTCTAGGATGACTGCCACAGACCCAGGACTCAGGCCTGCCCCCGTAGACTCAGCCTCCAGGCCTACCTCAGCACTATGTTGGCTCCCACAGCCCAAGGCACCAGGCCAGCACCTGCAGGCCCAGGCTCCAGGCTGACCACTCCAGACCTAGGCTCTTGGCCCACCTAGCACTAGGCTAGCCCCTTATAAATCCAACCTCTATGACTGCTCCTGATGGCCCAGGACCCAGGCCCACTACTGTGGGCTCAGCCTCCAGGCCCATCCCAGGCTCCAGGCTTGTCTCCAGAGGCCCAGGCTCCAAGAGACTCAAGGTTCAGACCCACTCCAGTAGACATCAGTGCTCCCAGCCCACCTGAGGATTCCAGCAGCAGGCAACCCATGAACCCTGCAAGATGGCCTGACCAGAGTCTCTAAACAGGCTAACTGGTAAAGTGCTTTCTCTGCCAAAGCCTGTCCTTAAAACACTGAAAGTGGTATCTACCTCTTCAAATGTGCAGATACTAATGCAAGACTACAGGATTACGTGTAATTGGAGAAACATACCATCACCAGAGAAACAAAATAAAGGACCAGTAGCCAACCCTAAAAAAATGAAGATCTCCAAATTGCCTGACAAACAATAAAAAATAATCATCTTAAAGAAGCTCAGTGAGCTACAGAAGAACACAGATAGACAGCTATGTCAAATCAGGAAAATAATTCATGAACAAAGTGAGAAGTTCAGTAAATAGATAAAAATAAAAAAAATAGAACCAAACAGAAATTTTTGAGTAAGAACGCAATGATTGAGCTGAAAACTTTCAGAGAGCTTCAACATCCACTTGGCTAAGCAGAAGAAGAATTAGCTCAAAGACAGGTCCTTTGGAATTACCCAGTTAAGGTGACAAAAAGAATGAAACTGAGGGAAAATGAGGAAGAAAACCTACAGGACTATGGACACCATTAAGTGAGCCAATATATGCATGATGAGAGTTTCAGAAGGAGAAGAAAAAGAAAAAAAAGGGCAAAAAGCTTATTTAAATAAATAATGACAGAAAACTTCCTATGTCTGGATGAAGAGGAACATGAACATCCAGATCCATGAAGCCCAAAGAACTCTAAGTAGGTTCACTATAAAGATATGTTCATTGAGACACATTATAATAAAATTCTCAAAAGTCAAAGAGACAATTTGAAAGTCGCAAGAGAAAAGCAACTGATCACACATACAAGGGCACCTCCCTAAAACTTTAAGGATACTCCTCAGCAGAAACCTTGCAGGCAAGGAGAGAATGAGATGATATTACCCCAAGTGCTGGGAAAAAAAAAAAAAAAAAAAAGAACTATCGACCAAGAATGTATACCCAGCAAAGTCATCATTCCAAAATGAAGGCAAAAGGCAAGATAAAGACTTTCCCAGACAAACAAAAGCTGTGGGGACTCAGCACCACTAGATCTGCTTTACAAAAAAAAACCCTAAAAGAAGTTCTTCAAGTTGAAAGAAAAGGATGTTAACAATATGAAAATATATGAAAGTATAAAATTCACTGCAAAGGTAAGAATATAGTCAAATTTAGAATACTCTAAAACTGTAATGGTGGTCCATAAATAATTTCTGACTCTGCTATATAAGTTAAAAGACAAAAGTATTAAAAATATAGGTACAATAATTTGTTAATGGATACATGATACATAAAAGATGTAAATTGTGACATCAATGACACAAATACGGGGGAAGGAGAAGTTAAACTGTAGATATTTATGTATATAGTTGAAATTAAGTAGTTATCAGCTTCAAATAGACTATTATAACTACAAGATGTTTATGTAAGCCTCATAACAACCACAAAGAAAAAATATGTAGGGTATACACAAAAGATAAAGAGAAAATAATCAAAGCATACCTCTACAAAAAAAAACAAAAACAAAAACAAAAAACAGAAAGAAAGATAGCAAGAGGGGAAGGATGAGACAAAAGAAATACAAAATAGAGAACAATTAACAAGATGGTCGTAGTAAGTCCTTACCTATGAATTATTATTTAAATGTAAATGAGTTAAATTCTCTAATCAAATGACAGAGTGACTGAATGGAGTAAAAAGCCAAAACCCATCTACATGCTGCCTACTAGAGATTTGCTTTAGCTTTAAGTACACATATAAGCTGAAAATTATGGGATGTAAAGAGATATTCTATAAGCTGTAATAAATAAAATATAATAGTAATCAAAAAAGCAGAGATATGTACATCAGGAAAAAAAAATAGATGTTTAAGTCCAAAACTGTGACAGAGATAAAAAAGGTCATTAAATAATGATAAAAGAGTCAATTCACTTAAGAAGATATAATAAGTTTAAATATATATGTGCTAAACAATGGAACACCTAATTATATAATGCAAATATTAACACAACTAAAGGGAGAAGCAGACAGCAATACAAAAGTAATAGGACAGGGGGCCCCACATTCCCCATGGACATGTGAGCTAGCAGGGGGATCTGCCCAGGGAATAGGCAGAGTCAGGGCTTCAGCCACCAGAGAACCCAGAAATGTAGTTCTGGCAGAGTGTAGCCACAGACACGCATACCCCAGTGCTCCCCATCTCCCTCCAAGAGGTTCTAGCCCCAGTTGACCACCAGGCCAGAAGAGAGCAGGGTCAGCCTTCCCACAGGACTGGGGAACATCTGTTCTATAAGCCTTCCTGCCCACTAGCCTTTCCCAGGACTCCTGCCTGCCTGCCCCACAGGACCACGGGCACAGCACAGGCTGCATAGCACAGCCTCCACTGCCCAGCCTGAGTGCTTTGCTCCACCTGAACACTTTCCCAGCAACCTGGGAGCACTTCGAATCCACCACCACAGTTGGGCCATCCTGATGTCTCAGCCATGGTACACAGCTTATGAGTGTTGAGCTGAGATCTGTGGCCAGCACTTGAGTGGGAGAGGAGCCCCCACACTCAGAGCATTGAGAATGGTAAAATGTCCAAGTTCATGGGCCAGCAAGGGAGTGAGGCATACCTCCCTCTATAGGGCCAGTCCAGAAAGAATGTGGCCTGTCTCTCTGCCACAGCCTCTGCCCAAGGGAGCCCTGCGGCCCTGAACACCTAACAAAATAAATATGGGTGTGGAGCCAGTGATAAGAGGGGAATCCTCGAAGGCCTAGGAGTGGATCTGGTGAGGAGGTCATCTCTCCCCACCTCCCTTTGCCATGGCAGAGCATGCCTGCAAACGTGAGGAAATATAAAAGAGCCATGTGGCTAAGACCCTACCTGCTGGCCATTACTTTTAAGCACCATCTACTGGATCATGGCTCAAACTACATTGCCAAAAATTATTTGGCTAATACCCCTGTGAAACCAAGCACAGGCATTCACCCACAAATAAAGATCCTGTACAGAGTCTTGGCCCTCTAAAAACATCCAGAAATGAGCCCAACTGAAAATACTCAACTTACACCACAGGTGAAGGAACACCAGCCCTCCCAGATCAGTGCAAGAATCAGTGCAAGAACTCTACCAATTCAAAAAGCCACAGTGTCCCCTTACTTCCAAATGAGCCCCCTAGCTCCTCAGCAAAGCTTCTTAACCACTATTAAATGACTGAATGACAGACATATAATTCAGAATATAGATGGCAAGGAAGTTCATCAAGATTCAGAAGCAAGTTGAAACTCAATCCAAAGAATCCAGTAAAATAATCCAAGAGCTGAAAGATAAAAGAGCCATTTTAAGAAAGAACCAAACTAAACTTCTGGAATTGAAAAGTTGACTGCAAGAATTTCTTAATTTAGTTGAAGGCATTAATAGTAGAATAGACCAAGCTGAGGAAAGAATCTCAGAGCTCCAACACTGGTTTTTCAAATTAACTCAGTCAGACAAAAATAAAGAAAAAGGAATTTTAAAAAAATAAACAAAACCTCCAAGAAATATGGGATTAGGTAAACAGACCAAACTTATAACTCGTTGGCATTCCTGAGTGAAGAAAGAGAGTAGGCAACTTGAAAAATATATTCGAAGATATAGTCCACAAAAAAAATCTCTAATCTCACTAGAGAGATTGACGTTCAAATTCAAGAAATACAGAGAACCCTGGCTAGATACTACAAAAGATGCCCCTCCCCATGACACACAGTCATCAGAGTCACCAAGATAAATGCAAAAAAAAAAAAAAATCTTAAAGGCAGCTAGAGAAAGATCAGATCATGTACAAAGGGAGCCCCATCAGGCTAGCAATAGACAGACCTCTCAGCAGAAAACGTATAAGCCAGAAAATATTGGGAGCCTATTTTCAACATCCTTAAAGGAAAGAAATTCCAACCAAAAATTTCATGTCCTGCCAAACTGAGTTTCATAATCAAAGGAGACATAGAATCCTTCTCAGACAAGCAAATGCTGAGGGAATTGGTTACAATTAGACAAGCATTACAAGAGTTCCTTTAAAAAGTGCTAAACATGGAAACCAAGAAATGGCACCTGCTCCTACAAAAACACACTTACGCACATATCCCATAGATACTATAAAGCAACTACACAAACAAGTCCACATAATAACCAGCTAACAACACAATGACAGGATCAAAGTCTCATGTATCAATAATAGCCCTGAATGTAAATGTACTTAATGCCCCACTTAAGACATAAAGTGGCAAGCTGCATACAAAGACAAGAGCCACCTCTCTCCTGTCTTCAGGAGACCCATCTCACATGAAGGGACATAAACAGGCTTAAAGTAAAGGGACCAAAAAAAAAAAAAATCTACCATGCAAGTTGAAAATAAAAAGAGCAGGTTTCTATTCTTACATCAGATAAAACAGACTTTAAACAAACAACTATTAAGAAGGACAAAGAGACAAAATCAATGTACAAAAATCAGTAGCATCTACCCACCAATAATGTTCAAGCTGATAGTCAAATGAAAAACATAATCCCACTTATGATAGCCACACACAAAAAATGGAAATACCTAGGAATACAGCTAACCAAGGGGGTGAAAGATCTCTACAAGAACTACGAAACACTGTTGAAAGAAACCAGAGATGGAATACCAATCTGTGCTTATGGATTGGAAGACTCGATATTGTTAAAATGGCCACACTGCCCAAAGCAGTTTACAGATTCAATGCTATTTATATGAAACTACCGATGTTCTTTTCATGGAATTAGAAAAAAAGTATTCCAAAATTCATATGGAACCAAAAAAGAGACCGAATAGCCCAAACGATCCAAAGCAAAAAGAACAAAGCCAGACGTATCACACTTCTAATTATTCCATAAGGCCACAGTAACCAAAACAGCATGGTACTGGTGAAAAAAAAACAAGCACATAAACCAATGGAACAGAATAGAGAACCCAGAAATAAAGCCGCACGCCTACAACCATCTAATCTTTGACAAAGTCAACAAAAACAAGCAACAGGGCAAGGACTTTCTACTATTCAGTAAACGGTACTGGGATAAGTGGCTAGCCATATGCAAATGAATGAAACTGGAACGCTACTTTTTACCGTATACAAAAATTAACTCAAGATGGATTAAAGATTTAAAGGTAAGACCTCAAATTATAAAAATTCTAAAAGAAAACCTAGGGAATACCCTTCTCAATATCAGTCTTGACAAAGAATTTTTGGCTAAGTCCCTGAAAGCAATTCCAACAACAACAACAACAACAACAAACAAAGTTGGCAAGTGGGGCCTGATTAAACTAAAAAGTTTCTGCCCAGCAAAAGAAACTATCAACAAAGTAAATAGACAATCTACAGCATTGGAGAAAATACTAGCAAACTATGCATCTGACAAAAGTCTAACATCCAGAATCTAAAAGGACCTTAAACAAATCAACAAGCAAAAACCAAATAACCACATTAAAAAGTAGGCAAAGGACATGAACACTTGTCAAAAGAAGACAGAAGACATACAAGTGGCCAATAAACACGAAAAAATGCTCATCATCACTAATCATCAGAGAAATGCAAATCAATAACATCTCACACGAGTCAGAATGGCTATTAAAAAATCAAATAACACATGCTGGTGAGACTGTGGAGAAAAAGAAATGCTTATACACTGTTGATTAGAATGTAAATTAGCTCAGCTACTGTGGAAAGCAGTTTGGAGGTTTCTCAAAGAATTTAAAACAGAGCTATCACTTGACCTAACAATGCCATTACTGGGTATATACTCAAAGAAAAATAAATCTTCCCACCAAAAAGACACATAAACTCATTTCTTCCACACAGTGCTATTCACAATAGCAATGGCATGGAATCCATCTAGATGCCCATGAATGGTGTATTGGATGAAAAAATGTGATACACATACACCATGGAATACTACACAGCCACAAACAAGGATGAAATCATGTTCTTTGTAGCAGCATGGAGGCTTCTGGAGACCATAATCCTAACAATTAACACGGGAACAGAAAACCAAATACCACACTGTAGGAACTAAACATTGGGTAACTATGGACATAAAGATGAGAACAATAGACACTGTTGACTACTAAAGTTGGGAGGAAGAAAGGGGTTGTGAGTTGAAAAACTACCTATTGTTATCTAGAAAACCCCATCGTCTCAGCCCAAAATCTCCTTAAGCTGATAAGCAACTTCAGCAAAGTCTCAGGATACAAAATCAATGTGCAAAAATCACAAACATTCTTATACACCAAAAACAGACAAACAGAGAGCCAAATCATGAGTGAACTCCCATTCACAATTGCTTCAAAGAGAATAAAATACCTAGGAATCCAACTTACAAGGGACGTGAAGGACCTCTTCAAGGAGAACTACAAACCACTGCTCAATGAAATAAAAGAGGATACAAAGAAATGGAAGAACATTCCATGCTCATGGGTAGGAAGAATCAATATCATGAAAATGGCCATACTGCCCAAGGTAATTTATAGATTCAATGCCATCCCCATCAAGCTACCAATGACTTTCTTCACAGAATTGGAAAAAACTACTTTAAAGTTCATATGGAACCAACAAAGAGCCCGCATTGCCAAGTCAATCCTAAGCCAAAAGAACAAAGCTGGAGGCATCACGCTACCTAACTTCAAACTATACTACAAGGCTACGGTAACCAAAACAGCATGTAACTGGTACCAAAACAGAGATATAGACCAATGGAACAGAACAGAGCCCTCAGAAATAACACCGCATATCTACAACCATCTGATCTTGGACAAACCTGACAGAAACAAGAAATGGGAGAAATGGGGAAACGATTCCCTATTTAATAAATGGTGCTGGGAAAACTGGCCAGCCATATGTAGAAAGCTGAAACTGGATCCCTTCCTTACACCTTATACAAAAATTAATTCAAGATGGATTAAAGACTTAAATGTTAGACCTAAAGCCATAAAAACCCTAGAAGAAAACCTAGGCAATACCATTCAGGACATAGGCATGGGCAAGTACTTCATGCCTAAAACACCAAAAGCAATGGCAACAAAAGCCAAAATTGACAAATGGGATCTAATTAAACTAAGGAGCTTCTGCACAGCAAAAGAAACTACCATCAGAGTGAACAGGCAACCTACAGAATGGGAGAAAATTTTCGCAATCTACTCATCTGACAAAGGGCTAATATCCAGAATCTACAATGAACACAAACAAATTTACAAGAAAAAAACAAACAACCCCATCAAAAAGTGGGCGAATGACATGAACAGACACTTCTCAAAAGAAGACATTTATGCAGCCAACAGACACATGAAAAAATGCTCCTCATCACTGGCCATCAGAGAAATGCAAATCAAAACCACAATGAGATACCATCTCACACCAGTTAGAATGGCCATCATTAAAAAGTCAGGAAACAACAGGTGCTGGAGAGGATGTGGAGAAATAGGAACACTTTTACACTGTTGGTGGGACTGTAAACTAGTTCAACCACTGTGGAAGTCAGTGTGGTGATTCCTCAGGGATCTAGAACTAGAAATACCATTTGACCCAGCCATCCCATTACTGGGTATATACCCAAAGGATTATAAATCATGCTGCTATGAAGACACATGCACACATATGTTTATTGCGGCACTATTCACAATAGCAAAGACTTGGAACCAACCCAAATGTCCAACAGTGATAGACTGGATTAAGAAAATGTGGCACATATACACCATGGAATACTATGCAGCCATAAAAAATGATGAGTTCATGTCCTTTGTAGGGACATGGATGAAACTGGAAACCATCATTCTCAGCAAACTATCACAAGGACAAAAAACCAAACATTGCACGTTCTCACTCATAGGTGGGAATTGAACAATGAGAACACATGGACACAGGAAGGGGAACATCATACACCGGGGCCTATTGTGGGGTTGGGGGAGGGGGGAGGGATAGCATTAGGAGATATACCTAATGCTAAATGACGAGTTAATGGGTGCAGCACACCAACATGGCACATGTATACATATGTAACTAACCTGCATGCTGTGCACATGTACCCTAAAACTTAAAGTATAATAACAAAAAAAAAAAAAGAAAAACTACCTATTGTGTAGTATGCTAGCTACCTGGGTGATAGGATCTATCCCCTAAACCTCAGCATCATGCACTATATCTATGTAACAAACCAAACTAAATGAACAAAAGTAGTAGGAGACTTCAATACCTCACTTTCAACAATAAATTATTCACACAGAAAAATCAATAAGAAAATAACAGACAAACACTATAAACCAAATGGACCTAACAGACAAGAAGAGCCTACCATCAAACAGCAACAGAATAAATATTCTTAAGTGAACACCAAACATTCTCCAGAATGGGAGGATTATGCCACAAAACAAATCTTAATAAATTTGAGAAGACTGAAATCATATCAAGCATCTTTTCTAATTACAGTGGTATAAAATTAGAAACCCGTAAGAAGAGGAAAATAGGGAAATTCACAAATACTGACAAATTAAATGACATGCTCCTAAACAATCAATGAGTCAAAGAAGAAATCAAAAGAGAAATCAAAACATAACTTGAGACGAATGAAACAGAAGTACAACATACCATAACTTATGGAATGCAGCAAAAACAGTTCTAAAAGTTTATAGTGCTAAATACCTACATTAAGGAAAAAAAGATCTCAAGTAAACAACCTGACAACCAACCTTTATACCCCAAAGAACTAGAAAAGAAGAAAAACTAAGCCCAAAGTCAGTGGAAAGAGGGTAGAAAACAATAGAAAATATCAATGAAACTAAGAGTTGTTTTTTTTTTTAAGAAAAAATAAACTAAATTGAGAAACTAAGAAAAAAGGAACTCAAAGTTATAAACAAAAGAGATGTTATAGCTGATATAGAAATATAAAGCATCATAAGAGATACTATGAATGATTGGATAACCTAGAAGAAATGAATGCATTTCTAGATGCATACAACCCACCAAGACTGAATTATGAAGAAATAGAAAATATGAACACACCAACAATCAGTAAGGAGATTAAATCAATTATCAAAAAGTTCCCAACAAAGAAAAACCCAAGACATTCACTGGTGAATTCTACCAAACATTTAAAGCATAATTAACAACACATTTTCTTTTTTTTTTTTTTTTAATTAAAGAACAGGAAACACTTCCAAACTCATTTTACAAGACTGACATTACCCGGATACCATAGCCAGAAAAGTACACTACAAGAATGGAAGAGTATAGATCAACATGCTTTAGGAACATAGATAAAATCCTCAACAAAATACTAGCCAACTGAATTCAACAGCACATGAAAAGGATTATACACCATCATCAATTAGGATTTATCTCAGGATGCAAGAATAGTTTAACATATGCAAATCAGTAAGTATTCTACATCGCATTAGTAGAATAAAGTATAAAAATCATATAATCATCTCCACAGATGCAGAAGAGGCATTTGAAAAAATTCAACGTAATTTCCTAACTACAAACTCTCAACAAATTAGGTATAGAAAGAATGTACCTCAGCATAATAATGTCCCACAGATAACATTATACTCAATGGTGAACTGGTGAACAGCTGAAAGCTTTTTCTCTGAGACAAGGAATAAGACAAGAATGTCCTTTTTTTTTTTTTTTGGGACAGAGTCTTGCTCTGTCGCCCAGGCTGGAGGGCAGTGGTGCGATCTCGGCTCACTGCAAGAATGTCCACTCTTGACACTTCTGTTCAATATAGTACTGGAAGTCCTAGCCCAACCAATTAGGCAAAAGAAAGGAATACAAGGCACCCAAGTTGGAAAAGAAGAAATAAAATTATCTTTGTTTGCAGATAACATAATCTTATGAAGTCCTAAAACTCCATCACAAAATTGTCAGAACTAATTAATGAAGTAATGTTGCAGGATACAAAATCAATATACAAAATCAATAGTGTGTTTATACACTAATAAATAATCCAAAAACATTTTTAAAAGTCCACTTACAATTGCTACAAAAAAATGAAACACTTAGAAATAAGTTTTGCCAAGGAGGTAAAAGATTTGTACACTAAAAACTGTAGAACTGTGATGAAAGAAATTGAAAAAGATGCAAATAAATGAAAAGATAGTCTGTGTTTATGTATTGGAAGAATTAATATTGTGAAAATGTTCATAATACCCAAAGTTATCCATAGACTAAATGCCATTCCTATGAAAATGTCATTGGCATTTGTCACAAATAGAAAAAAAATCCTAAAATTTGGTATGAAATCATCAAAGACTGCAAATAGCTACCACAATCTTGAGCAGCCACCACAGTCTTCGGCAAGAAGAACAAAGCTGAAAGCATCACACAACCTGATTTCAAACCATAATGCAAAGCTATCTTAATCAAAACAGCATGGTACTGGCACAAAAATAGACATATAGACCAATGGAATAGAAGAAAGAGCCCATAAAAACCCGTATGTTTATGGTCAATTTGTCTGCAACCAAGATGCCAAGAACATACAAGGGAAAGGTCTGTCTCTTCAATAGGTAGTGTTGAAAAAAATTAGATATCCACATGCAGACGAATGAAATTGGATTCTTATCTCACACCACATGCAAAAATCAACTAAAATTAATTAAAGATTGAAACATAACACCTGAACCTATAAACCACAGGAAGAAAACACAGGAAAAGATCCTCCTGACATTGGTCCAGGCAATGATATTTTGGATATGACTCAAAAAGCAACAATAGGCATATCAGATTGTATCAAACTAAAAAGCTTATGCACAGCAAATAAAACAATCAACAGAATGAAAACACAATCTATATAAAGGGTGAAAATATTTTCAAACCATACATCTGATGAGAGGATAATATGCAAGATGTTTAAGGAACTCAAACAATTCAATAGCAATACAACAACCCAATTTTAAAATGGGCAAAAGACTTGAAAAGACGTTTCTCAAAAAATAACACATAAGTGGCTGACGGGTATATGAAAAAATGCTCAACATCACCAATCATCAGGAAAATGTAAATCAAAACCACAATGAGATAGATTACCCCGTATTTGTTAGAATGGCTATTATCAACAAGACAAAAGATATCAAGTGTTGACAAGAATGTGGAGAAAAGGAACCCTTGTATACTGTTGATGGGAATGTAAATTAGTACAGCCATTATGGAGATTCCTCAAAAAATTAAAAATAGAACTACCATATGATCCTGCAATCCCACTTCTAGTCTTCTAGTTAGCATATGTCCAAAGGAAATGAAATTGAAGAGATATCTATATTCCTATGTTCATTGCAGCAATATTCACAATAGTCAAGATACGGAATCAACTGAAGTGTCTATTAATGGGTGAATACCATATTTTCTTTATCCATTGACCCACGGATAGACATGTATAAACGTGTGTGTATACACACACACACACACACAAACAATGGAATACTATTTAGACTTAAAAAAAGAAATTCTGTCACTTGCAACAACATAAATGGGCCTGGATATTATAATAAGTGAAATAAGTCAGGCACAGAAAGACAGACACTGCATTGTCTCACTCACATGTGGAATCTAAAAATGTCAAACTCAGAAGCAAAGAGTAGAAGGAAAGCAATGGTGGTTGCCAGGGGCTTGGGGTGGGGTGGAGGTGGGAGAATAGGGAAATGTTGGTCAAAGGATACAAAATTTCAGTTAAACAGAATGAATATATTCTGGAGACCTAATGTAGAGCATGGCAACTATAGTTAATGATGTATTGTATACTTGAAAGTTCTAAAAGAATAAATCTTAAATGTTCTCACCACCAAAATATTAAGTATGTGAGGTGATTTTATATATATATAAATATATATAGTGTATATATACTAGTATATATACACTATATATACACTACTATAGTATATATATAGAGTATATATACACTATATATACACTACTATAGTATATATATAGTGTATATATACTAGTATATATAGTAGTGTATATATACTAGTATATATAGTAGTGTATATATACTAGTATATATAGTAGTGTATATACACTAGTATATATAGTAGTGTATATACACTAGTATATATACTAGTGTATATACACTAGTATATATACTAGTATATATACACTAGTATATATACTAGTATATATACACTATATATACACTACTATAGTATACTAGTATATATACACTATATATAGTATACATATACACTACTATAGTATATATAAATATATAGTGTATATAATATATAGTATATATAAATACATAGTGTATATATACACTGTATATAATGTATATGTATATTATATATAATATATAGTATATATTTTTATATAATATATAGTATATATAGTGTATATATAAATATATAGTGTGTATATATACTATATATAGTGTATATGTATATTATATATATTTTTTATTTATGGTATATTTTTAATATATAGTATATACACTATATATAAATACATAGTATATAGTATATATACACTATATATAAATACATAGTATATATACACTATATATTTATATATAGTGTATATACACTATATATAAATATATAGTGTATATACACTATATATAAATATATATAGTATATATAAATACTATATATATTTATATAGTAAACATAAATATATACTATGTGTGTGTATATATCTACATATATAGTACAATAGCAAAGACACAGAATCAACCTAATACCCATCAATATAGACTGGATAAAGAAAACGTGGTACATATACACCATGGAATACTATGTAGCTGTAAAAAGAATGAGACCATGTCCATTGCAGGAACATGGATGGAGCTAGAGGCAATTATCCTTAGCAAACTACACACACACACACAATGTAAATATATATATACACATGTATATATGTGTATATACATGCGTATATATGTATATATAAGTATATATACACACACATATACACATATATACTATATATACAAGTATGTATATACTATATATACCTATATACTATACATACTTGTATATATAGTATATACTACATATACAAGTATATGTAGTATATACTACATATACAAGTATATGTAGTATATACTACATATACTTGTATATATAGTATATGTATACATATATTATATATAAGTATATACTATATAGTGTATATATACTATATATACACTATATATACATGTATATGTGCATATATACATATTGTGTATATATACGTGTATATGTGTGTATATATGTATATATATACACACATATATATATAGTTTAACTTTTAAGTTTGGGGCAAATGTGCAGTTTTGTTACATAGGTAAATATGTGTCATGGGGGTTTGTTGTACAGATCATTTCATCACCCAGGTATTAAGCCTAGTATCCATTAGTTGTTTTTCCTGATCCTCTTCCTCCTCCCACCCTCCACCCTCTGACAGGCCCCACTGTGTGTTGTTCCCCTATACGTGTCCATGTATTCTCACCATTAAGCTCCCACTTATAAGTGAGAACATGTGGTATATGGTTCTCTGTTCCTGCATTAGTTTGCTAAGGATAATTGCCTCCAGCTCTATCCATGTTCCTGCAGTGGACATGATCTCATTCTTTTTACGGCTACATAATATTCCATGGTGTATATGTACCACGTTTTCTTTATCCAGTCTATATTGATGGGCATTTAGGTTGATTCCGTGTCTTTGCTATTGTAAATAGTGCTGCAACGCACATATATGTGCATGTGTCTTTATGACAGAACGATTTCTATTCCTTTGGCTATATACCCAGTAATGGGATTGCTGGGTCAAATGGTATTTCCATTTTTAGGTCTTTGAGGAGACAGATATATTAATTAGCTTGATTGTGGTAATCATTTCACAATGTGTACATCTATTAAAATATCACATTGTGAACCATAATGTATACAATATTTTTTAGTTATATTTAAATAAACCTGGAAAAAAGTCATGAACACATTCACATATTCATGTTTATAATATTATCAATAATATCAATTCACATGCAAAATGCTTTTTATCTGCTTTCTCAGTTAATCCTCATACAACCCCAGGGGTTTGGTACTATCATCCCCATTTTATGGTTAAGAAAACTAAGGTTCAGAGAGATCAACTGACTGCTCACGGTGAGTAAATAGAATGAAAATTTAAAGCCTTGTTTGTCTGATGTCAAGATCAATATTCTTAACAATTATGCTATACATAATGAATAAAAATCTTCAGTAGGAAAAACAATTAGTAAGTTTCATGGTCTCCTGTGTAAATCTTTTTTTTTTTTTTTTTTTTTTTTTGAGGTGGAGTCTCGCTCTGTCAACCAGGCTGGAGTGCAATGGCACCATCTCGGCTCACTGCAACCTCTGCCTCCCAGGTTCAAACAATTTTCCTGCCTCAGCCTCCCAAATAGCTGGGATTACAGGCGTGTACCACCATGCCCAGCTAATTTTTGTATTTTTAGTAGAGACAGGGTTTTGCCATATTGGCCAGGCTGGTCTCGAACTCCCGACGTTAGGTGATCCACCTGCCTCAGCCTCCGAAAGTGCTGTGATTACAGGCATGAGCCATCACGCCTGGCCTAGACTTCTTTTTGATGCTGTTATATACCATTGTTGTTGTTCATCCTTTCAGTGTGTATCCATCTTTGAAACAAGACACAGGACTTCACCCATTTTATAACTTTGTCGTCATAACAGTTATCAAATACTGAGAGCTTGCCATGTGCCCGATACTGTGCTAAATATATGTGGATTATGTCATTTAATCCTCAGTATAACCCTACAGAAAAGGCAAATTATCCACTTAACAGACATGGAAACTGAGGTTTAGAGAGCATTCAAAATCTGCTTGAGCCTGCACAGCTGCTAAGAGCCAGGATTTGAATCCAGACCATTTGATTCCACATCCTGCATCCCTATTCTCCACATAGCACCTCCAGTTGGTCCCCAGCATAGCTCTCGCCCTCACGTAGCCATCAACATGCAGTAGAAGAGACATAACACATTCCATAATACATATAAACCAGAGTTTATTTTTACTTCCTGATAAAATTGTTCCCCAGCACTGACTTAGCAAAACGTTGCTTTTTAAAAATCCCATCTTTTTGCCTTAGCTAAACTAATTGCCATTCTTTGTCTCTAATTTTCAAATTCCCATTTTCCACTTCAAATCTACCATCTAAGTCTATGTTGACAAGGAGAAGAGACCTCAGTAGCTGCTAGAAGTCAGTCTTTTCTATCTGCTGTTCTCTCTCCACCTGCTAGGTGATAGGAGCCATCACAGCCTGATAATTTAAGCTGCATGGTTCCACGCCATTCAGCTTCTGTAAAACTACACTCTTCTCTACCCCAGCAATATAATAGTTTTGTTCTTTCCAAGGGGTTTCATCTGGCCATGGGAACAAACTGAAGGCAGAAGTGGAGATCACAGCAACCCAGACATCATGACAAGGCCATCTATGGAATTTGCAGAGATGAGTAGATTGGGCTTCTTCTGGAGTACCTCGCTGCTTTGCACTAAATGCTATCGTTTATGAAGTTATCAAATAAGGAAACTATGATGTCTCCTTTCCCCTAGGCTGCTGGGATGGCAGCGAAATTGCTCCCTAGGTTCTGCTGATCTTGTGCAAAGAGGCAATACAGCAGAGGGGTTACCAGCATGGACTCTGAAGCCAGACCACCTAGGTCCAAATCCAGCTTTGCCCTTTCCTAGCTGTGTGACCTTGGGAAGGTTGGCCAACGTCTCTGGGCTTCACATTCCTCATCTGTGACATAGGGATAAAGAACTTTCTGTGTAGAGAAGTTTTAACAGTTTCTGCCAGAATGAAAGCACCATGTGAGCACTTGTTAGAAATATGAGCCATATTAATACACAGGTTGATGGAATATGTCAGAAGTATAGATGCTGAGGGGTTGACAAGAGCTTCAAAAAGCAGTAGACTGCTCTCTACCATGACAGCTTAGGAATTTGTGGAGTCTAGGGGTCCTTTAATCTCCTCCCTTAGGATATACCTCCTTTTTTGCCTTCCCATGTCCTCTTTCTTAACTTGAATGACAAAGATGAATAATAAGAATGTTGAGTCACATGCATACACATGAACATGACCGATCACATCATGAACACATACAAAAATACATATTTATAATAACTATTGATATCAATAATTACAATTGTGTAATTATAATAATATCAGCATCCATTTTTTAATAGCATATTATATCTCAGGCATCGGGACAGGTCACTGCCTATATTCCTTCTTCCTCCAAGCAGGCAAGCTTCATATTAGTGTCTCCACTTGCTGGGGAACTTTGAGGAAATTAAGGAACATGCTCAGGGTCACAAGGGCAAATAGCCAAACTGGGATTTGAAACTTTGAACCCAAATCCCGAGCTCCCCTTTGCAGGCACTCTCTTAGTTTGGGTTTCCTTGAAAGCAAAGTCTGCAACATGGGTGTGGAGACAGGTAATGTTTTGGAGGCGACTTTTTAAGAGCCAGGAGTGAAAAACAGAGGGGTGCAATCCTGCAAAGATCCTCTGTAATGCAGGTACATGCCACATAGCATGTGCTGCAGATTCACCCCAGCAAGGGGTAGGACCTTGGGACATTTATCCACCCACACCCACTGGTTGAGGGACAGGTGCCCCGGGAACATCCTCTCCTGCTCACAGCCAGGCTGTTCTGCACATGGACTAAACTTCCTTGCTCCAAGAAAGCCCAGGGATAGAAAAGCTGGGATATACACAGGTATATGTATCAGAGGTGTATATACCTGTATATAGCTCAGAGGTGAGACACCTGGAGCATGCTTGAAGTTGTCCACTTCTGAAATTAGATGAGCCAAAGGGATGTACTCCAGGCACACACACACAAGTCTATTAATGGCACCCTCTCATGGCCTCACTGAATTCCACGTACTCTGTATGGTAGTGTGCGCTCTCTGAGGGGACGAGGCACGCATTCCTTTGGCTTCTAGCAATGACCGGTGAGGAAACCGGGAAAGATATGATCACCTTCAACTGTCCATTGAGGAAGTGGAGGTGTCTGAATGTGAACACACCCTTTTCCCATCTGTAACTTTGGGCAAGTTATTTTAATTCTTTGTGTTTCCATTTTCTCATCTGTCCATTCTTCATATTTACTGAGCACCTCTCTGTGCCAGGCACTGTTGTAGGTGCTACAGAATACAGTCTTGAACAAAATGCGGAGAAAAATCCCGTCCTTCACTGAGCTTACTTTTCATCAGATGAAGACGGATGAAACACAGAAGATATAAAGAAAATGGGCTAGTGGGCGTGGTGGCTCATACCTGTAATCCCAGTGCTTTGGGAGGCTGAGGTAGGAGGATTGCTTGAGGCCAGGAGTTTGAGACCAGCATGGGAAACATTGCTAGTCCCCGTCTTCACAGAAAAATTTAAAAATTATCCTGACATGGTAGCTTGAGTCTATAGTCCCAGCTACTCAGGAGGCTGAGGCATGAGGATCACATGAGCCCAGGAATGTGAGGCTACAGTGAGCTATGATCAGCACTCCAGCCTGGGTAACAGAGTAAGACCTTCTCTCAAAAAAAAAAAAAAAAAAAAAAAAAAAAGGAAGAAAAGGAAAATGAAATGTTTGGAAGTAAAAGGCTGTGAATTAAAGTATAGAAGGAGAATGTAGTGCATGTGGGGCAGGAGGGAGAGACGGCAATCTGTGTTAAAGTGATTAGGAAAAGCCTCCCTGGGAAGAAGGCATTGGAAGCATGTGGCTATCTGAGAAAAAGACTTTCTAGACAGAGGAAACAGCAAGTACAAAGGCCTCAGGGTGGGATTCCACCTAATGTGTTCCAGGAATATCAGGAAGGCCGTGTGGCTGATGTGGACCCAGCAGTGGATATGAGTGAGAGCTGTTGAATGGTGAGTAGCGTTGCATGGGGACTCCAAATGTCACCGTGAGTGGGAGGTGAGTGGGATATGAGTGGGAGGGTTTTGAGCAGGGAAGTGACATGATGTGACATATTTTCATGGCATCATTCTGGCTGTTAAGAACAGACTGGCAGGGGGAGTGGGCAGAAGCAGTACCATGGAGAGCAGTCAGGAGACTATTGTAGTAATGAGGGGAACATATGACGGAGGCTTGGACTAGGGTGGTGTTGACGGAGGGGGTGGGAAGTGATGGCTTTTGTAAAATGTGCATGCTTTCCAGACCTTAGACATATGATCTCATATGATTTTCACAAAGACTCACATCTGTTGGGGATTCTCTCCCATTTTTACAAAAGAACGGGAAGCTGAGACCATGCCCTGAGTTGACATGGTCAGCATGTGGTCAGACCAAGCTGAGGGCTCAGGTCTTCTGAATCTTAACCCAGAGATCCTTCTGCTGCATTTCAGCCATTCGGTGTCATCATCTGTGAAGACGACTTCTTAAGGACAGGGCTTCCTCAATACTCTCTACTGCAAGACCCCCATTTCCAAAACTAATCGCAACTTGAGAATGAAAATGTCCCTAGCAAATAAGTGGGGAAAAAAAGAAGAAAGAAAGAAAAAAGGAAGAGAGAAGCAGAGAGGGTAGCCACCCAAAATTCCAAAGCTCTGCAGGCACGGATCAATTCTTTAGGGTTATTTTTCCCCTTTACTTGGGTTGTAAGTGGAAACTTAATTAAACATGTGACTCAATTCAAAGAGGGGCATGGAGGATGTGACACTTTAAAAATATCACAGTGTTGGGCTTGGCAATGATTCTGAGAAAATGCCTCCTTGAGACTTCAGACATCTGCATGCAGGATGATATGCAGGGAGACTTCGGCAAGAAGGAATTATATTATAAAATATGTCGTAATGTATAATTACAGCCCTGACCTCCCCTGGTAGCTTCAGCTCTGTATATCCAGCTGTCTGCATACTTGCGTCTTCACTGGGATTAAAAATTAGCATCTCAAACCTGTAAGTCCAAAACAACCTCCCAAACCTGTTCCTTCTGACATCTTTCCAACGCAATGAATACCACCACCACCTACTCAGTGCCTCAAGCTAAAATCCTAGGAGTCATCCTTGATTTCTCATTCCCCTCACCCCTGGGATCTGATGTCTTTAAGTGCTGTCTGCTCTACCTTCAAAACATATTTCTAACCTGTCCGTTTCTCTCCACCTCCACTGATAAAACGCTAGCTTCATCGTCACCATCTCTTGCATGAGTGACTGCAACAGCCTTCTGATTTTTTTTGACTCTCTTTAATCCACAATGCAGCCAGCATGAGTTTTTTAAAATGTGAAATGTAAAACTGAACAGGGGGTGTGTCTTATTTCAACGTGCTCGAAAGGCTTCCTAGTATTCTTAGAACAAAAGACAAACTCTTTATGTGGCTTCTGAGATCTTGCATGATCCAGCTGCTAACTTCTCTAATCTCTGCACGTGCCAACTCCCATCCTTACAGCGTTCGAGCCACTTAGTCTCTTTTCTGATCCCTGAATACAAGAAGTTCTTTCCCTCCTCTGGACTTTGCAGTTACTCTTTCCTCTTTCTGAAATGCTCTCTGGTCAGCTCTTCTCACCACCTGTTCCTTGTCTTCCCTGAGCTTTCAGCCCAAATATGCCCTCACTGAAAAGACTCTTTCATAACCCTGTCTCAGGGTTTCTCAATCTCAGCAGTATTGACATTTGAGACCAGATCATTCTTTGCACTGGGGGGCTGTTCTGTGCACTGTAGGGTGTTTAGCAACATCCCTGGCTTCTACCTACTAGATGCCAGTAGCACTTGCCTCCAAGCTGTGACCATCAAAAATGTCTCTTGACATTGCCAAATGTCCGCCGGGTGACGGTGGGGCAGGTCACTTACAGTTAAGAACCCATTCCCCATCTAAAGCGCCCTTGACAGCTTCCCTTTATCTCTTAGCCTATGTGCTTCCTTTGTATATTTACTATTCTCTGCAATTAACTTTTGTATTATTATGTGTTGTATAAGAACAAGACGTAATACGAATGTAACCTCCGTAAGCATAGGAACTTTGAGAATCTTATTTATAGTCTGTCTTCCTAGGACCTAAGAGAGTTCCTGGCCTGTGGAAGGTATCCAATAGATATTCATTGAATGAATGAGAGTTGATATTCATTGCCATGAGCCGAGCTTTGTGCTCAGCACCATTCATGTGTTAGCTCCATTTAAGTCAGCTAATGAGGTAGGTAACACTATTATCTTATCTGCATTTTCAGGTATGGACAAGTGAGATTCAGAGAGAGAGTAATTTGTGAAGCAACTAAGGGATATCAGTTGAGCTCTGTGACTCCCATAACCCCTTTGATGAAAATATCAACCAAACCTAGAAGCTTTGAATTCTTGACTCTTCTCCCTTCATTTTTGTATCCTACCAGTGCGTCAGTCTCATTATTTATACCTCATAAACACTACCCTAAGTTCTGTTCAGCCCCTCCTCTCCATCCTGTTACCATTGAATTCATCAAGGTCCTCATCAATTCATGGCTGGTAGTAGGAACAACCCCCTAAATCTGGTCTGTACACTACTACCCTCTACCCACTCTTTCCCATCTCTATATGACAACAATGTTCATTTCTCTGTCAGGTCAGGTCATGCGCTGGTTTTGAAAGTGTGTTCGCTTCCTGATACCTATAAGATAAAGTCCAAACTATGTAATGCGGCCTTTGGTATATGATTTGATCTCTCTTAGCTTCGCTTTCCTATCTATGAGAACGGGAATATGAGAATAGCACTTTCAGAGCAGGTTTTAGGATTCAATGGGACAAGCTTACAAGGGATGCTCAATGGCAATGATTTCCTTTCCTTCCCTTTCTTTACAATTGGAACCTAATTCTCCAACTTCATCTCCCATCAATCTCCCCTCCCCTCCCCTCCTCCTCTCCTTAGTGAATTCCTATTTATCCTTCAAGCTGCAATTCAAATGTCCCTGCCATGGTCAAGCCTTCCCCAACCTTTCCTGGCAGGGTTGATGAACCCTGGTCTGGAGTCTCAGAACTCCACTCTAGCATTTAACATGCTGTGCCTTTAAACACTGAGTAGTCAGTGTTTGTTTACACATCTTCCTTCTCTGTTAGACTAAGGGCATTTACACATTTCTGAATCCCTAGTGCTAAGCAAGGAGACTAACACATAGTTTGTGCTCAATAAATGATTATATGTAGGAAGATTGCAACACAATTTTAGAATTGCACAGACCTCGGTTTCAATGTTGACTCTACCCCTAATTTGTCAGACAACCTTAAGCAATTTGTTTTCCTTCTGGGACTTGGTTTTCTTTCTGTTAAAAAATAAAGACAGTTTTATCTTCTTAAGCGGATATAATTAGATAATTAAGGTAAAGTATCTTGCATAGGCCAGATGCATGGTTATCATTCCATAAATGACAGCCTATTATTATCCAAATTTATTAATTACTGCACTTAAGTAAATGAGGTTCTACTTCAGGAATCAGTAAAGCTAAAATATTGACACTTGAAAAATTTTGGAAATACCACAAAGCACTATATAAAATGAGCCTAACAAAGGCTCAGAACAATAACTGTGATTGATAGATTGGTAGAAAATGAGATTGGAGAAGTCAGGGAAGACTTCCTGAAAGAGGTGGCATGATAGATTGTCTCTGAAGATTCCTTCCCTCCTTGCCAAAGGATGAAATCCATTTTTTTCTCCCAGTGAAATCTGGGCTGGCCCAGTAACTTGTCAATAGAATGCAATGCAAGTGACTTGTGTCAGTAATAACCTTTATGAGTCCTGGCAGCTCCCACTGTTGCTCTTAGGAGGACCCACCATGCTGTAAAGATGCATGGGCTTGACTACTAACATATGAACTATCACATGGAAAGAGGGAGGTCATGTGAAGAGGCACCAAGTCCCCAGAAATGTGAGAGAAGTTTCTTGGACTTCCAAACCCAGTCCAGGCAATCAAGAAGGCAGCCAAGTAAGAGACTTCAGCCAATGTCACATGGAGTGGAAGAACCACCCTGCTGAACCCTGCCCCCACTGCTGACCCACAAAAGCTCAAGACATAATAAATCATTGTTTTAAGCCACTAAACTTGGGGATTTTCTGTTTAAAAGCAATAGTTAAAAGAAATAGATAAGAATTTGAGTATGGGTGGGCCTGACGCAGGCAGACACAGTGAAAAAAAATCTTTCCAAATAGAGAAACCCACTGTCATGAATGAGGAGTTAATCTTAATGATTGCCTCAGGCTTTCCTTCCAGGCTTTCAACCTTCACTTGTCTCCCTTTACTTGCTACACCCCAACCATGGTGAATTTTTCTCAGGCTGTCTTTGAACTCACAGCCTTTGCTTGTGCTTTTCCTATTGCCTCACTTTTTTCTGGTCCTCTTTGATAGCCTAATTTTTAGCTGTCTTTCAGATCTCAAGTGCTGTTTCGTTTGTCATGCCCACTATTCTAGCATATATCACTGTGTTGCTCTTCTTAGTCTAATGTCTTTATTTCTCTATTGTGATGAGTGATTAATTAATTAATGGAGGGAAGGGAAAGCACTTCCTTACTGTAGAATGCAAACTAATTAATGGAGGAGCAATGGAATTAGAAAGTTATTTGCAACCATCATAGTAATAATTGATTCAGGCAAGTATCATCAATAGATGCTGAGATAAGTGCATGAAAGTTTGATGAAGTACAGTATACTTACACAGCCTCAGAGTATATCCCCTAAAGTTATTTATTAATTACAAGGGGATGAAAGTAATTTTATAGTGAAGAAGTTTAGCATATATTACTTTGACAAAGTGATTAAAGTCAACAACAATAGTGACAGAACAAACCAACGTCATGTACTGAGAAGAACACACTATCACTTATATAATAATTCACCAAAAATGTATAACCTGAATCTCATCAGGAAACATCCAATAAGCCAAAATTACAGTAATTCTTATGCTCTTCATAACATGTGAATATCCTGAAAGACGACAAGAGACAGGAAACATTCCATATTAAAGAAGACTACAGAGGCATGAAAACTAAATGTAATGCATGATCCTGGATTAAATCCAGAGCATGAAAAAAATGCTACAAAAACATTACAGGAATATTTGGAAAAATTTTAATAAGATCTACAGGTTACATAATTATATCGTATGAGTGGTGAGTTTTTCTGATTTTGATTACTATACTGTGTTTATTTAAGAGATAGTTCTTGGTACACACACTCTGAAACATTTAGTGGTAAATGAGGCATGATATCTGAAACTTACCTCATATTTTTAAAAAGCAGTATGTGCACGCCTACAGAGAGAAAATAAAGCAAATGTGGAAAATGATGAACAGTTGATGTATATGGGTGAAGAGCATACAATTTTGTACTAATCTCGCAACTTGCCTGTAAGTTTGAAATTATTTCCAAATGAAAAGTTGAAAAAATAAAATATCAGCTATCTGATGGATAACCCACAATATGACTACACACCCACCATGTTGTTTAAAATGAACAAAATCAATGATACCAAACATTGGTGAGAATGTAGATCAACTGGAATTATTTTTCATTGTTGGAGGGAGTGTAAATTTTACAACCACTTGGGAACACTGACAGTGTCTACTAAAGTTAAACAGATCCATAACTTGTGACTCAGTAATTTCATGCTTAAATATATGCCTATAAAAATGTATACATATACAAATTCTCCAAAATATATGCATTAGATATACTATAGCATTGCTATATTTCATAGCCCAAAATCAGAAACAACATACATGTCCACCAAAAGTAGAATGGATAAAAATTGTGACATATTCCCAAAATAGAACACTATACAGCAATTAAAAATGAATTATATCTGCTGACTACAACAGAGAATGAATCTCATGAAAAATATCAGGAAAAGGAAATCAGACAAAAATAGTGCATCGTGTTTGACTCCATTTATATAAAGTTCAAAAATAGGTAAAACTAACCTGCAATTGTTACAAGTCAGGAGAGTGGTTACCCCTTGCGGGGAAGGATTTAGTGGCAGGAAAGAGCTGTGAAAGTGCTCTTAGGAGTTTTGCCAATGCTTTGTTTGTTGATCTGGATGCTGGTGACTCAGATGTGTCAATTTCTGAAAACCCCTTGAGCTTTATACTTATGACACAGGCACTTTTCTGTATGTACGTCATTCTTCAGTAAAATGTTTACATTAATAAAGAGAAAAGGATAATGATAACAACGCCCAATAGCATGAACAGGACACTGTTGTATTTTCCATGGAGTGATTCAGATTGGTCATGAGATGTAGCTGCTATTGCTACACATGGAGAAACTGAGGTTCAAAGACGTTGAACAACTTCCCAAGGGTCACGCAGCCCAGAAGCGGCTAAGTAGAACTCAAATCTAGGCTTTTCAGTTGCCTGCGGAGTCTGTGTTCTTAGGTGCTGTGTTCCACTGTGTCCTAATGAAGAGGCCTTTGGAGTAGAGAAGACCTTCTCCATTCCTTCATCAAAAGGCCTTCTGAATAAACCCGGGATGTTAGAAATTATGCAAATAAGCTTAAAAAAATCAGAGACTCTGCTAATAAAGATGGAGAGAGGAATAAGGTGCCAAACTGCAATGTGATAATGAGGCTGATCTTAATGCCACTTCTCAGTCCTTGTTTGCAAAATTAAGATCTAAGAGGGGGAGGAAAAGAAAACCACCCCAACCATAAAAGGCAGGGTAGATACCCATGAGATAAAATGGTTGAAGAATGATCCAATTAGGAAATGCAATATAGCTCAGTAAGCCTTATTCCTATTATCACAGAAACCAAGCTTTGTAGTATATTCACTGCTGCAGGAGAAAGTGTAAGGAGAAATTAATGGTTTGATTCTAATTTTTTTTTTTTTTTTTTTTTTTACCAGTGGCAGATATGTTTTTGAATTATTAATCTGTGTTTTCTTTGCTGTATGTTTGGTCTTCCATCTCAAAAGAGATCTTAGGGATTTTTGCCATAGCAATTTGCAGAGGATTCACAAGATAAAGACATGAACTGGATTTATCAGACCAAGGAAGGGAAAACTAGCAGGAAGAGGCAGGATTTCCACCCCTAGAAATGGAAAGGGGGTTGCAGTTGGGAAGTGAGTGTCTTGCAAACAGTGGGAACTTTGGCCTTTATGAAGGAGCAGCACCCAAGAAATTTAGATATCAAAGGAGAAGCTATCAAGTACCCCTCTGAAAGCAGGACCCCAGGGTAAGGGGACAGCAACCCCACAAAAGGGTCTTGGGCTCCAATGTTAAAATAGAAGAAGAGGGTCACATGGTTTCAGGTAGTATGCACATCAACAGAAAGTCCTATCTCAAGGATTCAATTCAATAACTACTGTAATAAACAAACTCTAGGGGTAGGGAAGCCTCAGTATTGACCAAAATTGTTTTTATTTTAAGCAACCTAACTGTTTGAGGGTTTGGGGTGAAGTTTACTAGAAATAAGGAAAATAAAGAAAAAATATTTCTTCCAACTCTGAGACTGAGGACTTGGATGCATGTCTCCTACATGCAAAATGGGTGGAAATTAACCCACATGGACTCCGAAAAAGCATTTTGCATTGAGAAAAATTACTTCAATGGAAAGAACATTATCCCCTTTGTTCTTCCCACTGCCTGCTTAATAATTCCTGAAGCTCCAGTCTGCTGTGACAAGCAAGGCTGGATTTGACTACTCATTCCCCTTTTTTGACCTTGGGGTCCCATTGCTCATGAATTCCTGACGTTAAATATTTCTGTCAGGCAGCGCTGTTTCAAGAAGACTTCAAGTTTTAACAAAACTGAATTAAATATTCAACCAAGAGTATCTCCCTTCTGTGAGTAAAGATATGATTGAAACTTATGTGGTGATTGCTATTATCATCACATGCTATGAGCCAGGTATATAAAGCCAGGATATTTAAGTTTGTCTAGAAGCCAACTGTTACTGTTACCAGGGGCAGGACAGAACCACTCAAATATGGAATTGGGTAACATATGAGAATCATCATGGAAGCTGGAACCATTAGCCCAGATGCGTAGAAGGCTTGCAGCGATGATAATTACACATCATTAGTGCATTTGCAGAATGAGATCTTTTCCTCCAGCAGGAAAGGAAAATCCACCGGTGTAGGTGAACAAAAACCATCATGGTACAATCCATCACCGTCTGGGCCCTGAGAAAAGTGCATTCTTTCCAGGTAATTTTTTTCTGCAGGTATGAGGATACTGGAACCTTCAGTGGAGGGTAATTGGCTAACAGAGAAAATAGCTGTTGTCTGGAGACTAGAGAAGGCTGCACAAGCAGAGTGCCAAAAGTGGTGAGCAGAAGATGTCTCGATTAAAAATAAGAAGTGTTAAGTGTTGGATGGGAACATCATTTGCAAATCTTTGCTCCTATGAAGCCCTTGTACTGGTGGGAGAAGTGAAGGAATTTGGAACTGCATGGCACAGTTTCTCTGGAATTTATGGCTAGACATATTTGTGTGAATGATCTCAGCAGCCCCAATCAATGTAAATACAACATTTAAAACACTGAAATTGCATCATCAATCACAAAAGGAACAGAACTAGTTGGTGAAAAGGTGAGGCCTTTGAGGGCTATGGGATTATGTTCACAATGGGTTGCTTAAGATTGAGTGTTCTAGACAGGCAAGACTTGAATGCCAGCTCCTTCTTTTATTGATGACATTTGTTGAATAAATGGCTCAAAACCCGAATTTACTCCAGTTAGCACTCAGTGCTATCATTTGTGCAATGTGGTATCAAAGTGAAGTCTCCTTTAGCCTAGGTTCCAAAGTGACTGATGAGAAAACTCCAAATAGTCAGTGTTAGAAATACAGTAAGAGTAAGAAATGAATTTCCATTATGCCAAACCACTGAGATTTGGGAGCTGCTTGTTACCACAGCACAACACAGCTCATACTGACTGATACAAACCAAAAATTGTTTCATCTCACTAAGCCTCTGCTTTTTCAATTATACAATAATGATCTCCCTCAAAAGATTATTGTGAGGGTTCTATTAGATATTCCTGTAAAACCACATGGGATTGTGCCTGACATATAGTACATGCTGCAAATGTTAGCTATTCTTACTGAGGAGTATGTAGCCTTCTAGTTAGTTTGTGGCTCTGTCAATGTGAAAAACACCAAGACTAAAAGAAAGGTATAGATATAAGAAAGCAAATATAAATGTACCCTAAGCCTCACCAGCCCGAGGGACAAATGAGGTCAGGAACAGTAATAATTCTCATTTTTTTAGCTCCTGGCTTTAAATGTAAATTCCAGGACCTCTGGACCCACCTTAACATTTCACATGGTCCCTTGTGAAAACAGCTCTGTTGGCTTCTCCCTACAGTCCTCCGTGATGAAAAGTTCAGAAATAAGTTCATGGGACCAGGTGTGGGGTAGACATTACAATAGCAGCTAAGCTTTATTGAACACTTACTCTGTGCAAGGCAAGTTGCTAAGTCCCTTTACATACATTACCATGTTGAACTCTTAATTACCACCATAGGAGCTTGGTTATAATTGTGCTCATTTTGTAGATACATAAACAAGGCCCCTCAAATCTAGTTAACCTCCCTCAATATTACAGAGATAGAAAGTGGGACTAAGAATGTCTGTCCCCAAAGCCAGCAGTCATTATAACTATGTCATTCTCCCCAAGGCCTCATTTATAAACCACCTTCTCAATTGCCCCTTACAACTATCATCATCATGAAAATCAACTCATTCAACTAGATGCTTGTTGAGCCCATAAGACATGCTCAGATGCCTTGAATCCAAGTGGGAGTCAAAATTAGACCCAAAATGAGCCATTACATCCCCGTGACATAAATCACTGTATTCATAAAAAATGGAGAAATTGCAAATGAGCCTACAGCCCAATGGCTTGCACCAAATCTGAAAGATGCCATTTTAAAAAAGAAAGTTAATAGACTTAGAGCAGTCTACTGGGTAGAGAGGCCATTAATATAAGATAAATAATAGTAGTGGGTTGGAAGCAAAGGAGTTCATAAATTCTCACTTGCTTATTAAGGGTGGTATCCTTTGGATTCCCATTTATAATATATATGACTGCATATAAATGAATTATAAATGTATGTTTTGCTTAAATACCAAGCACTGGCTGCTATTCTTCCCTGATGCAGAAAAATTAAGTTACAAAGGAATGAGTTAAGATTGTTTACCATCCTATTATGAAACAGAATACCTCATAGCTGGAAGGGTACTTAGGGATCAACTATCTGTTCCAACTCCATCCCTTTGCATATGAGAAAACTTCTAGTTTAGGCCACACAGGGATTTCCAGTGATTTAAAATTCAAACACACTAGTGGAGCACAAACACATTTTAATTTACTCCCTACCACTGACAGCTCTAATCAAGGCATGAGCCTTCTGTTCAAAGCCAACAACTGATCAGCCTTCATGATGAATGGACACAGAATCCTAATTCATACTGATTCTGGCTTCAGGCCTTTGCTTGTATTTCAGTCCTGAACTTACACCATTATTATCCCTATTACAAAATAGTAGTGATTAGTTTCCATCTGCAGCTGGAACACTGATTGGCCTATCTTTTCAGGGGCATTTATTTAAGGTCACTTAAAACCATTACACTTGTATACGTTGATCCTGGATAAACAGAATAACTATGGTCTAGGGTAAGGATGATGAAAGAAGCCATAAATAAGTTTAGGGAAATCCCAGAGCAGGGGAGCCACTGCTACAGTTCCCAGGAGTCTGTACGATTTATAGAGAAGTTCTTTGACCTACATGGTACCCAAGCCACAGAGTAGAAATGGCCATGGGGATTTTCTGGGTGGGGAAGACTGAGGGCAGCCTTGCAGATCCTCATGCCAGTGTGGTGTGGAGAGAGCAGCCGGAAGCACCTAAGTTTCCACGAAGGGCACAGAAGTGGCCGTGAGAACCAGAGGACCAAAACATTCTCACATTTGGGGATTAGGGATGTGGATGTATTGACCCCAAAACAGATACAGAACCACGATCAATCAGCAGTGGTAGAAACAAAGGGACACATAACTACACTAGGTGGGGACAGGTAACAACAGATGATACTTCCCAAAGTCTGGCATGCCTTAATACTAAAGCCTGCACCTCACACCAGGAACTTTAAACACAGTGGGAAAGACAGAGAGAAATGCAAAGGGTAGAAAGTTGGGTCAACTGAGCAGTATCCACAAGAGACTGAGTTTTAAACCAGAAGTGATTACATTTTCTCTAATTCAATTTTGCAGTGGAAGTGGGTGCTTAAGAGTAAAATGAAATTCAGTTACAGAAAAATAAAATTCTGTTTTCCCTTATCTGAGTTTTCTGATTGGGAAAACATCTGCATCATAAAATAAGTTCTTGATACAGTGCTGGGCTTCATAAGTGATCAGTAACTTTTCGCTGCTGCAGCTACAGTTGCTGTTGTCCTTGTTATTGCTGTTATTATGCTGTGAGCTCCTGGAAGCAGGTACAGTATTTTTTGTTTGTTTCTGTCTTTCCAATGTTTATCACAGAATAGGTTCCTCAGCACATATTTGCTGACTGGACACCCGAATTTACCACCATACCCCCTTCCCCCACTAGCACTCAATGCTATTATTCATGCAACCTGGAGCCAAAGTGACATCTCCTTTAGACTAGGTTCCTAAGTGACTGATGAGAGAGCTCCAACAACCAGGGTTAGAAATAGAATGTGAGTAAAAAACAAATTTCCATCATGCTAAACCACTGAGATTTGGGGGCTGCGTGTGGTAACCACAGCACATCCTGTCTGATACAAACTAAAATTGAAATGTACTTGAGAAGAATTACCTAGTCTGTAGCATACTGTTTTACCTCCTTTATGTCATTGAATTTTTACTCTCTGTATTTTATAGTCAATGAATCTGAAATTCCATGCTATTAAATCATGTGTCTAAAGTCACAGTCAGTAAGGGACAGGGCCATCTGAGTCCAGAATTCTAGAATTTTCCATTACACTAGACTGCCCCCAGATGAAGACTTTTTTTTTTTTTTTTTTTTGAGATGGAGTCTCACTTTGTCACCCAAGCTGGAGTGCAGTGGAGTGATCTCTGCTCACTGCAACCTCTGCCTCCTGGGTTCAAGCAATTCTCCTGCATCAGCCTCCCAAGTACCTGGGATTATGGGCGTGCACCATCACACCCAGATAATTTTTGTGTTTTTAGTGGAGGCGGGGTTTCACCATGCTGGCCAGACCAGTCTGGAACTCCTGACCTCAGGTGATCCACCCACCTCTGCCTCCCAAAGTGCTGGGATTACAGGCATGAGCCACTGTGCCTGGCCCTAAATGAAGATTTTCTTATACCTACTTCTCTAATATACATTTTACTTTGAATATAATAGGAGATAGCTACTTGATCTATATTACTTTCCACTTTTCCAAACAGAATTAAAGTAAGTAAGATTTAAGGTAGGGGAGAAGGAAAGCTGGATGGCAGTTCGGAGAAATCCAGGGTGAAAATGAAAAACCATGATCTTAAACTTTGGTGTATATGTCCCCAGTAGGAACAGCAACATATATACAATATGGCAGAAAGTACAACATGGCGGAAAACTCTGATGGAGAAAATAAGCATCCAGTTTTCCTGTAGACTGGGATGGAATAAAAAAGAATAATAGACGTATTGGCAAGGATGTAGAGTGACTGGAACTCCCACACAATGCTAATGGGAATATAAAATACAGAGTAACTCAATTACTCTGGAACACAATTTGCCAGTTCCCAATAAAATTAAATAAGACCCCAGTTTCAATCTTAGAGTTATACCCAAGAGAAACAAGTATGTATTATATTAGGCCATTTTTCACATTGCCATAAAGAACTTCCCAGAGACTGGATAACGTATAAAGGAAAGAGGTTTAATTGACTTACGGTTCTGCATTGCTGGGAAGGCCTCAGGAAACTTACAATCACGGTGGAAGGCAAAGGAGAAGCATGCACATCCTTAACAAGGCTGCAGGAGAGAGAGAGCAGGGGAAATCGTCACTTACATCACCATCAGATCTTGCGAGAACTCACTATCACTAGAACAGCATGGGGGAAACCACCCCTGTGATCCAATCACCTCCCTCCCACTAAGTCCCTCCCCTGAAATATGCGGATTACAATTTGAGATGAAATTTGAGTGGGGACACAGCCAAACCATCTCATGGATGCCCACAAAAACATTTGTACAAGAATGCTCATAGAAACTTTATTCTTACTAGTCCCAAACTGGAAACAATGCAAAGGTCTATAAAAAGGAAAAGAGATAATTGCTGTATGCAAATACAATGTAATACGAAACATTAATACAAATAGAATGAAATGTGGTAAAACCAAATAACATGGATGATTTTCAAAAATATTTTGGGCAAAAGAAGCTAGAAACAAAAGAGTACCTTCTGGATCATGCCATTTATATGAATGGCAAAAACAGGAAAGCTAAGCTACAGTGATTGAGATCAGACAGTGGTTACATCCAACAGTGGGGTAACTTTAATAGGTCATGAGGGATTTTTCTAAGGTAATGAAAATGTTCTGTGACTAGATCTGGATGGTGGTTACCTAAGGCATATACCTGTATACAAATCCATTGATCCGTATACTTAGGATTTGTGCATTTTAGTGTATATAAGCTATACCTCAACAAAATAAGAAAAATAGTTTAAAGAGAATGATAAAAATGTTATCTACATCTCAAGATGGCAAGCACGGCTGTAGGATCTTGCAGGTTTGGGCACTCCTACTCTGCCACAGGGGGCTCGGCTCTGGAGTCTGAATACAGAACTGACCCACTCCTAGGATGATACATCCGCAAGACTAGCGTGGGTATTCTGCAAGGGGTGGAAACCTTGGTAACAAATATTTGTCAATGGCAACAATGACTGCTGCAGGCCTGTGCAGTGTGTGTATGATACTAGAGCATCGGTGTGGATACCTATGGCTGAATCTGTGGTCCACGGAGATGACACTTCAAGAGACACCTCTGAGCCATCCAGAACAGAAAACAAAAGCACCTTCAATAATGATACCCACAGGGCCGGGCACGGTGGCTAACACCTGTAATCCCCTCACTTTGGGAGGCAGAGGCAGACAGATTGCTTGAGCTCAGGAGTTCGTGATCAGCCTGGGCAACATGGTAAAACCCTGTCTCTAACAAAAATAAATAAATAAAATAACGTAGCAAGGCGTGGTGGCACACATCTGGGGTCTCAGCTACTTAGGATGCTGAGGAGGGAGGATCTCTTGAGCTCAGGGGACAGAGGTTGCAGTGAGCCAAGAATGCGCCTCTGCACTCCAGCCTGGCTGACAAGAGCGAGACCCCATCTCAAAAATAATAATAATAGGGGCCTGTCGTGGGGTGGGGGCATGGGGGAGGGATAGCATTAGGAGAAATACCTAATGTAAATGACGAGTTAATGGGTGCAGCAAACCAACACGGCACATGTATACATATGTAACAAACCTGCACGTTGTGCACATGTACCCTAGAACTTAAAGTATAATAAAATAAATAAAAATAAATAATAACAACACCCACAGAAAACACAGGACCCATCTGGGCTTTATTTTTCCCAAAAACTCACAAGTCCTAAGATACTTGTATAACCTCAAGAAGGGACAAGGATCTCTTAAAAATGACTACATTGAATTTCTTCTCCTCAAATTATGAAGTCTAAGGTAGAGAACCAGGTTCAGTGTTTATTACGTGTTCCTAAGTATTATGAATACTAAAGTCATTTTTTGTTTTTAAACACACGGCCCTTGCAAATGCTACCTGCCAGAAGGGGGAAAGCAAATTTAACTTCCTCATACCCAAACCCTCAGCTTTCTCAGCCAGCCTCACCCACTTGCGGCTGTATAACCCAGGGAAGGTAACCTTCTCTCCCTGGGACTCAGTATTCTCATCTACAAAATGGGGATGACAGCTCTTCCTCACAGAATGGTTTTGAGGATTAAATATCAAAACGTTTTGAGGATTAAATATCAAAATATGTGTCATCCAGAAAGCCCCATGCAGACCAACTACTGGTTGACTCAACTCACTTTCCAGCTGTTTGCTCAGAGATGGGGGACACAGAGACACGATTAAGTGTGAAGACAGGTCCATTTTCAGAGATAAACTTGCTGAGGCCCGCAGCTGGAAGCCCAAATTCACTTACTGACACTGCGACTACTCAGATGCAGCCAGGTAGAAACAGATGCAATGACCCAGCAAATTTGAGAGGTGGGGAGACCATCAGGGGACATTTGAGGAAAGAAAGGAACAGCTTGAGCAGATTTCTGAGGGTGGCTGTCTTAGAGGTTGAATTTGCCAGGCTGCCCGAGATAAAGTTTTCTTGCACTTTCTTCCCCATGAAGTAAACATGTGCGCGCGCACACACGCACACAATTTCAGAGCATGGAGACAGGTGGAATATCATAAAATCTAGTTTTAAACCTTGTTTCTCATGGGCAGCCAGATTTCTCCCTTTCTCACTGCCCCCTCCTGCCCTAACTAGAAACATTCATCCCCCTCACGATTCTCTGTGTGTCAGATTTCCCCATATAACAAAAGCAAATCAGGAGGCCTGCTAAGCAGTCTGGTCTGTGAAAGCCTCAGGAGAAAAACCGTGAGAGCAGGTGTGGTCCTAGCCTGCCCCTAGCCCACCACACAACACCGGTTGTCACTTCGTTTCTCCCCAGCCTCTGTTTCTCCATTGGCAAAACCAGAGTTTGAAGCAATTACTCACTCCCATTAGAAATTTGTGATTTCCAATTTTATAAATTATTAAACAGTGGGATGCTAGCAGATAGTTACTTAAAAGACCAAATAAAAGGACATTTTCAATTCATCATTCAACAAACATTCTTCAAACTACAAATTGAGAATGCAGTGACAAGGCAAGACATGTCTCTTTTCCTCAAGGAAGTTATACTCTAGTGATGAACAATGAACAGAACAAGGAAATTAACACTGAAGAGGTCAGCTTGCTAGTCTTGTGAGATACACACAGTGAACACACACAGGAAGGGTATTTATAAGGACTGGAGGGCAGGAAGGCTTCCCAAAGGATGAGATGCTTCAACTGGGACCTTTTTAAACATTTTCCTCATTGTAAACATATTGATAAATAAAAAGAACATGAGGCTGGGTACAGTGGCTCATGCCTGTAATCCCAGCACTTTGGAAGGCAAAGACAGATGGATTACTTGAGGTCAGGAGTTCGAGACCAGCCTGGCCAACATGGTAAAACCCCGTCTCTACTAGAAATACAAAAATTAGCCAGGTGTGGTGGTACATGCCTGTAATCCCAGCTACTTGGGAGGCTGAGGCAGGAGAATCGCTTGAACTCGGGAGACGGAAGTTGCAGTGAGCCATCGTGCCATGGCGCTGGGCAACAAGAGCGAAACTCTGCCTCAAAAAACAAAACAAAACAAAACAAACAAAAAGGAAATGAAAATTACCCATAGTCCCACCCCTCTGAAACATCCCCCCTTGCACACATTGATATATAATTCTTCCAGTGTTCTGTATGATATACATGTACGGACACCTTTTTAAAAAGATGGATTTATATAATTTTTAATTTTTCACTTAATACATTGCAAACATCTTCTGAAGAAATTAAGTCACTTTAATAACCTTCATACTATTCTATTGAACAAATATGCCATCATTTGTTTAATGAAGATTATAAACAGGTTGTTTACAATTTTCTTTGCTACTATATGCACCATTGAGACGAATAGATTGGTAGCTCACCCATAGTCCTCTTTATTTTCTCTTAAGGGATTCCTAGTGAAATCACTGAGTCAAAATCATGCATAGTAGACTCCCTTTTCCACAGGGCGGTGGTGGAGTGTATACTTTCCAATACCCCCATGGGATGGCTGGAAGTAAGGATGGTACCAAGCCCTATACATACTATGTTTTTTTCCTATCTATACACACCTATGATAAAATTTATTTTATAAATTAGGCACAATAAAAGATTAGCAAAAAATAAAACATTATGACAATATACAGCAATAAAAGTTATGTGAATGTGATCTCTCTCTCTCTCTCAAAATATTTTATTGGACTGTCTATATGTAACTTAAACCCCAGACATCCAAACCATTAATAAAGGGGGATACTGTATCTTTTTAAAGGCTTTTGATACATAGGGCCACATTTTCTCCTAGAAAGTTTTGTTGATTTTTCAATTCCACCAGAATTATATGAATGTGCAAATTCCCCTACATTCTCCCCATCAACAGATATTATTTATTTTTATGTACCAGTTACAC
Source organism: Homo sapiens (assembly GCF_000001405.40). NCBI lineage: Eukaryota > Metazoa > Chordata > Mammalia > Primates > Hominidae > Homo > Homo sapiens. The sequence continues at coordinate 22,673 of NW_019805500.1, read as the reverse complement.
TTAGTTTTTGCTCTCCAAAATTGCCTGTTGTGGCTGGGCACAGTGGCTCACACCTGTAATCCCAGCACTTTGGGAGGCCAAGGTGGGTAGATCACTTGAGGTCAGGAGTTTGAGACCAGCCTGGTCAACATGGTGAAACCTGTTTCTAGAAAAAATACAAAAATTAACCTGGCGTGCTGGCAGGTGCCTATAATCCCAGCTACTTGGGAGACTGAGGCACGAGAATTGCTTGAACCCAGGAGGCAGAGGTTGCAGTGAGTGGAGATCACGCCACTGCACTCCAGCCTGGACAACAGAGCACGACTCAGTCGCAAATAAAATAAAATAAAATAAAATAAAATACCTGTTTTTTCTTTCTGTATGAATTTGAAATATCCCTTTACATATTAAGGATATTGTAATTCTGGTCCATTGTATATGTTGCAGATATTTTCCTAGTTTTTCATTTATGTAAGATTTTTAAAACTGTTTTAATTACAGAAGAATCTGGTTAAAGTTTCCACCTTCAGTTCCATGTAAGAAATATTCATTCCTACCATTGGATTTTTAAAATAGTCCCCAATTTTATCCTAGTGCTCTACAGTTTAGTTTTAAGATATTTAAACCTTTATACAGATTAGTTGTGCCTGGGATACAATGGAGATGATAAAAGGCAGATTTCAATTTTTGCTCTTATCAAGTTTTATTATCCTGGTCTTTGCATTTCTTATGGTGAGCAAGTGTTACTTTTGTAATTTAGGCAATTATGAAAAAGAACCATCTATTGGGCTTTTATTATGGAATCTGATGGAAATTAATTTTCGCTGATTTTCCAAATGTTTACTTAGATGTCTCATCACCTGTCATTAACTTGGAGCTGAGACTGGAGGATGCTTAGGAGATGCCCAGGTGAGGAAAAGGAGGACAGTCCAACTGGGGCAGGTAGTATGTCCAGAGAGGGTCAAAAATAGCCAGTGCAGGGGCCAAGCATGGTGGCTCATGCCTGTAATCCCAGCACTTTGGGAGGCTGAAGTAGGCAGATCACCTGAGGTCAGAAATTCAAGACCAGCCTGGCCAACATAGTGAAACCCCATCTCTACTAAAAATATAAAAATTAGGTGGACATGGTGGTGCACACCTGTAATTGCAGTTATTCAGGAGGCTGAGGCAGGAGAACCACTTGAGGCAGGAGGTGGAGGTTGCAGTGAACTGAGATCACGCCACTGCACTCCACCCTGGGTGACAGAGTGAGACTCTCTCAAAAAAAAGAAAAAAAATAGCCAGTACATTCCAGGAATTTCACACTGATTCATGCGACTTGGAGTAAAAGGTGCAAATAGAGTCCTCTTAATATTTGAGGAGATTCTGGAAGGACAAATTTTTAAAATTCAAAATTCAAATATTAATGTTATCAAAGATTTCCACCATCTATAATTCAAAGCTATTAATACTAAACTTTTAGTATATTTGTCTTCTTTTACTTAAAGAAATAAAAGGTGTCAGAGGAAGTTGAAGTTCCCTCTGACCATCATTTCTCATTCTACTCTCTCTTCCTCAGAGATAGCCACGCTTCATAAGTTTAGTATGTTCACACTTAGAGTCCAACAAATCATATGAGCAAATGTGTGTGTGTGTGTGTGTGCATGTGTGTGTGTGTATTAAGATTAGATTTGACTGCAAGTGAAAAAACCCCAACACAAAGAGAAGAGAGGTTTAAAAGATAAATATTTATTTATTTTGCATATGAGAGTCTTCATAGGTAGTCTATACCTGATGTGGCCTCATTATTATGTTAGGAACCCAACTGTCTTTGATTTTTTAGGTCCTCCATTCCTGGAGTCTATTTCTGAATTTACCTCATGGTCCAATACAGCTGTTATAGCTCCTGCTATCACATTCACATCCCAACCCACAGAAAGGTTTAGAAGGATTAAAGAAATAGGAGGAGGATAGGAAGATGGTGTGGGTTGAACTGTGTTCCCACAAAAAATATGTTAAAGTCCTAACCCCACCCCCCCTGATTTTCAAATGTGGCCTTACTTGAAAATAAGGTCTTTGCAGGTGTGATCAAGTTAAGATACTGGTTTAGGGTGGGTCCTGATCCAGTGTGACGGGTGTCCTTATAAGAAGAGGAGAGACCCAGAATCGGACACATGTGAGAGGATGCAATCTGAAGACAGGGGCAGATAGTGGATGTATCTGTAGCCAGGGAGGGCCAAAGATCACCAGCAACACAAGGAGGTGGGAGCAAGGCACATAATCCATTCTTCTCTAGAGCCCCCAGAGAGCACTGACTTCAGACTTCTAAAGCCTCCAGAGCTGTCAGAGAATAAATTTCTGTTGTTTAAAGCCACCTAGTTTACAGCTCTTTGCTACAGTAGCGTTACCCGAAAAACACCGGGGTTCATTCCCCTGACAAGTAACAAATGACTCTCCACAAGGAAGCAGGTTTTGATCAATGGGAGTTTTATTACTTGGCTCAAGTAAGGACGACACTGGGAGGATTCTCCAAAGCAGTGTCTCTCAGAGGGAAAGTGACGAGGGTTTTATGGGGTGATAGAGAGGAGAGAGGGTACACGTCATCCCACGTAGATGTACAGACACAGTAAGTCATCATGCCAGCACATAGTTTGCATGTTATGGTAAGGAAGCTATAGCTTTTCCCAGGGTAGAGACTTGAGCATGGTAATAAGGAACGTTCACTTGGGTTCATCACTTGTCAGGAGCTGGTTTAAACTGACAAGATGACCTCTTTCTACCCAGGGCTGGGGAAGAACAGGCTGCAGGGCAGGAAGCTGTAAAACAGCCTGATTGCTCAAATGGATTAAATTCCTACAATCCCTGGAGACTCCTCCTGTCTGCTTACAGTAGCCCTGGGAAACAAACACAGAAAGAAAAAAGGGGGAAAGACAGGTAGGAGAAGGAAGTGACAGAGTTAAAAGGTTTTCCTCAGCTGTCACTTAGGGAAGGTTTCCAGAATTGCTGAACACACCTCACATCCTGTTGAACATAGCTTAAACATGGGCACACCTAGCTGCAAGGAAATCTTTATTCTGGATTTCCACATACTCAGCTAAAATTTTTATGACACCGGGGGAAGAATAGTGCTTTTAAAAATTTATATATAAATGGCATCAACTGTAGTTCCTTTGTAATTTTTTTCTCACTCCTTTGAGGGATTTGTCCAAGTTGCAAACATGTAATTTTAATTTGCTATATTTAAGAGCTATTTTACCATGTATGTTTACCACCATTCACCTCTGAGTGATGGTTACATTTTTAATTTTTTTTTCTCTTACAAACAGAACTGCAATAAATGTTGCATCATCTCTTTGAGCACATGTGTGAGGATCTCCCTAAAATGTGTCCCTGTAGGTGATAGCATATAATCATTTCCCATTTTAAAAGAATTTCCAGGCTGGGTGTGGTGGCTCACGCCTGTAATCCCAACACTTTGGGAGGCCAGTGGGGGGTGGATCACTTGAGGTCAGGAGTTCGAGACCATTCTGGCCAACATGGTGAAACCCCATCTCTACTAAAGATAGAAAAATTAGCTGGGTATGGTGGAGCATGCCTGTAATTCCAGCTACTTGGGAGACTGAAGCAGGAGAATCACTTGAACAAAGGAGGCAGAGGTTGCAGTGAGCCTAGACTGCACCACTACACTCCAGCCTGGGTGACAGAGTGAGACTCCATCAATCAATCTATAAATAAATAGTATTTCCAAATTGTTCTTCCAGGTGGTTGTGGCAATGTATACCCTCTCTTGCAGTGTAGCCTATCTTACTGCCAACACTTGATATGATTAAACTTTTTAACTTTTTTCATAAGTACAGGTAAAAATAAAATGGTATCAATTGTAAATTTTTATTGAACCACACTGAGCTATAATTTACATATAATGTAAATACATATAATGTACCCATTTTAAGTGCACAGTTGAATAAGACTTGACAAATGTATACCCCCATGTAAATATGACCACAATCAACACATAGAACGTATCTATCACATAAAATAATTCCTTGATGCGTTGTAGAACAGCTTTAAGTCAATAGATTGGAAGATTTAGATAAAATGGAAGTTTTTCCCTAAAAATGACCTAGCAAAACTGACATAAGAAACAGAAAATCCGAATACTCCAATAGCTAATAAATTAAATCTAGGGTGTTCCTCAAAAAAACTAAAAATTGAACTACCCTATGATCTAGGAATCTCACTGTTAGATATATACCCAAGAGAAAGGAAATCAGTGTATCAAAGAAATACCTGCACTCCCGTGTTTACTGCAGCACTTGTCACAGTAGCCACGATCTAGAAGAATCTAAGTGCCCGCCAACAGAGGAATGGATAAAGAAAATTTGGTACACATACACAATGGAGTACTATTCCTCCATAAAAGAGAATGAGATCCTGTCATTTGCAACAACACGGATGAAACTGGAGGTCATTCTGTTCATTGAAATAAGCCAGGCACAGAAAGACAAGCTTCCCATGTTCTCACTCATTTGTGGGAGCTAAAAAGAAAAACAATTGAACTTGTGGAGATAGAGAGTTGGACCGTGGTTATCAGAGGCTAGTGGCTGGGGGGATAGTTAATGGGTACAGAGTTCAACAGAATAAGATCTGTATTTGATAGCACATCGGGATGACTACAGTCAATAATTCATTGTACATTTTAAAATAACTAAAAGAGTATAACTGGATTGTTTGTAACACAAAGACAGGATAAATACTTGAGGTGATGGACACTCCCTTTACCCTGACATGATTATCACACATCATATGCCTGTATCAAAATATCTCGTATACCCCAAAATACATATGCATACTATTGACCCACAAAAATTACAAATTAAAAAAAGAAATTAAATCTGTAATTATAATTCATCCCTTCTCTCAGTCCCTCCACACCACACACACACACACAACCACCCCAGGCCTACGTGTTTTTACCAGTGAATTATTTTGAATACTTAGGGAAGAAAGAACCAATCTAACAAAATCTTCAGATTAATCAATCAATTCAATGCAATCTCAATCAAAATCCCAGCAGGATTTTTTTGTTGTGGAAAATGACCGCATCATGCTAAATGGCATGTGGAATTGTGAAGGGTCACTAGAGTAAAGATAATTTGGAATAAGAACAAAGTTGGAGGAAGGCTGTCAGTGGTGCTAGAAATGCTTTATATCCTGGTCAGGTGGTAGCTGCATGGTAATAATCACTTTGCAAAAATTCACTGAGCTGCTCACTTAAGATTTATGCACTTGTCTGAATGTTCCATATTAACAAAGACGTTTACAAAACAAAACCACCTCCAAAAACCAAACCCTCTACTGGCCAGGAGCAATGGTTCTCCGGGAAGTCTCTCTTATTTATACTTAGTACTTTCGTAGGATATAGTACAATGGTTCAAAATATTAGAAGCTGTTTTTGCCTGCTATGAATTTTATATATCTTAAAATATATGTAAAATAAATACATAAAAAATATATAAACATATACATGTAAAATATACATGTAAATATATATGTGTAAATGTTTCTAATATATATGTAAAATATATAATACATAAAATATATATGTAAAATATATATAATGTAAAAATATGTGTAATACATTATATATACGTATATAAAATACACACACATATATATTAGGGGCCAGGCGTGGTGGCTCACACCTGTAGTCCCAGCACTTCGGCATGTTGCTTGAGCCTAGGAGTTCGAGACCAGCCTGTGCAGCATGATGAAATCCCTTCTCTATAAAAAATACAAGTATTAGCTGGGCATGGTGGAGTATGCCTACAGTACCAGCTTCTTGGGAGGCTGGGGTAGGAGGATCACTTGAGCCCAGGGAGATCAAAGCTGCAGTGAGTTGTGATTGTGCCACTGTACTCCCACCTGGGTGGCAGAGTGAGACCCTCTCTCCAAAAAAAAAAAAAAAAAAAAAAAAGTTAGAGCTGGAATCAGCCAGATCCAGCTTCAAATTTGGCTGTGCTGCTTGGAAAAAATTGATACAAATGGGTATAACAGCTTTGGAAAATGAGTTGGCAATCTCCAGCAACTAAACATACGTCCAGCCTGTGACCCAGCAATAAAGCTGCTAGACATATACTCAATATAAATGGCATCTATGTAATAGTCACAAACATCAAACAACCCAAGTTCAAAGGACTGACCATCTTTGGGTGTGTTGCTTTACTTTTCACATGTGTACAATGGACCTAATGACATTCACAGAAAACTCAGAGCTTTCACAGCCAATGAAGAAAGCACTTAAGATTTTTTAAATAAGTGCTCAATTTTTAAATAAATATGTTGTCGATCACATTACTGGGCATATACCCAAAGGAATATACATTGTTCTGCCATAAAGACACATGCACATGTATGTCCATCACGGCACTATTCACAATAGCAAAGACATGGAATCCACCTAAATGCCCATCAACGGTAGACTGGATAAAGAAAATGTGGTAATTATACAGCCTGGAATACTACACAGCCATAAAAAAGAATTAGATTATGTCCTTTGCAGCAACATGGAGGAAGCCGGAGGCTATTATCCTAAGTGAACTAACTCAGGAACAGAAAATCTAATGTCGCATGTTCTCACTTATAAGTGGGAGCTAAACATTGAGTATATATGGACACAAAGAAGGGAACAGCAGGCACCAGGGCCTACTTGAGCAGGGAGGGAAGGAGGAGGGTGAGCATCAAAAAACTACTTATTGGGTACTGTGCTCATTACAAGAGTGATGAAATAATCTGGACACCAAACCCCAATGACATGCAATTTAACCTTTATAACAAACCTGCACATGTACCCCTAAACCTAAAATAAAAGTTAAAAGTAAATAAAGATGTTGTTATTCATACCCTAATAAAGTATAAAATGCTTCTCCCACCACTCGTAATACCAGAATTCCTTCTGATGTCCACATTAAAGTTATATTTACCGGCCGGACGCGGTGGCTCACGCCTGTAATCCCAGCACTTTGGGAGGCCGAGGCGGGCGGATCACGAGGTCAGGAGATTGAGACCATCCTGGCTAACACGGTGAAACCCCGTCTCTACTAAAAAATACCAAAAAAATTAGCCTGGCGTGGTTGCGGGCGCCTGTAGTCCCAGCTACTCGGGAGGCTGAGGCAGGAGAATGGCGTGAACCCGGGAGGCGGAGCTTGCAGTGAGCCGAGATCGCGCCACTGCACTCCAGCCTGGGCGACAGAGCAAGACTCCGTCTCAAAAAAAAAAAAAAAAAAACAATTATATTTACCAATTGAGACTACTAGAGTAGGAAATGTTACTTCATCTGAGAAATCTCAACCCACCTCTGCACAAAGGGTGTTGATGGGTTCAACGGAGAGGTGTGGCTGTTGAAAGGCATCACAGCCCTTCCAGGGGCGAGAGCTTGCGCACTTACCCCTGAGTCTGAGGTCATGTAACCCCTGCCAGTTCAGCCGGGACTTAAAACCGTAACTAATGCTCCTCTCTCCTCTCCGCAAGATCATCAGCCGTCGAAGCACCGCCTCTACTGAGTTCACTCCATCTGGAATCCTCTGGGGAAAGAAACATGGATTGCGTACACAGCAGAATTAGCCTTTTGTATTTCATTGTGTGTCTGTTGAGGCGGCGGTGAACCAGATGTGGTTTTCGGCAGACATAACTTCAAAAGCCGGAAACACACTTATCAGGAAACTGCAGAACATGAGGCAGCCGGCAACAGTCAAGGTCACTGACAGGTGACGTGGCCAATAAAGGGAGATTAAAAGCCATGACTTGTCTGACACGGGCCCATTTGATACTTACCAATGGCAGGATACGGAACATTGCCTACTCTTGATGGGAAGTCATTGAACATAGTGTAATTTCTTAGAAAGTGAATCCCTGTCATTTTTCTCTACGATAAAAAAAAAAGGAAGGAAATAAAATAAAATCCAGGTAGCTCTCTGCTGACGACCAAAATGTGTTTATTTACTGAATACCATTTACCATTGGCCAGATTTTTCTGCCAAATATTCTCTTATTGGATCCTCAGTACAACCAAACGTGTTCTCAAATTAATAATTATCCTGCCTTTACAGTAGGGAGAAGTGAGACTCAGAGGATTTGTGGTAAACTTTCCAAGCTAGTCAGTGACCAGCCAGGACTGTAACCCAGAGATTATGTTATAATGCTTACGCATGGTGACAGCGCCTTACTCTAGGTGAAGGAATGACATCCAGATGGCATTGTTTTCTGGCAACACGGACAACTGGAATGCAAAGCAAACCCTACCTAATTTTTGGACACCATACTTTCTGCAGCCAAAAAAACAAGAAATGCATACTCTAAAGAACTGCTGGAAACGTTTATTTGCATGCCGGGCGGCGATGCCAGAGTCCCCTGATTCTGCACTACGTGGCCTAGGGAAGATTTTCATAAATCAAGCTTTCTTCTATCCCAAATAACATTTTATGCATGCCAAGGAATCTCACTATTTAAAAAAGCTCATTCACAAAGCCTCCTTCTGCTTTTCACCCACCCGTGTATTATTTAGTGTAGGTTTAAAAAAAACACAACAGCTTGAAATTCAGGTTTAAACCAGTGGGAGCATCTACTAAGAACAAACCAAATTAAGAAGAAATGATTCTTCAAATATTTGGTATACTAAATAAGCTTGGCCCAGAGGTAAGCTGTGGTCACCTCTTCCTTTGCATTTTAAATAAATTTGGCCTGAGCTTATATCCCACATCCTATGAGTTGAACATCTTGCCAAGACTTTTGCAGATTCCTCAGGGTTCCTGTTTCTTTTGATTATTTCTACCTCCAAGTTCCTGCTCCCGTTTCTCTCTGTCTCACATTTATTCTCTTCTCTCTGCACTGCATGGACCCAGAGAAAAACTCAGCCTCTTTCTCTGACATTCCCCACACCGCCTGCCCAATATATTTGTCATTGTCAGTACTTTGGGGTGACCCAGAAAGGTTCTATCACAGCAACACCAGTGCCTTAAAATTGTATATTAGATATCTCAGGTCTGCTCGACTCCAAAATCTCAACCTCTACTTCCTACCTCCTCAACTGGGAGGATAAGCTCTGCTCCAGCCATTACAGCCCCTTGTGATTCCTCCATCACGCCAAGCTTGTTTCTGCTTAGGGGCCTGTGGACTTGCCAGACGGCTGTCTCTCAGCCTCAAGACACATTCACTCATTTCCCCCACGTCTCTGCACAATGTCACCTTATAACACGAGCCTTCCTGATCATCCTTCATTAGAACACCTTGGTCTTCTCCCTTCTCCTTTGTCTCCATAGCTCTCATCAACACGTGAAATATTGCGTATTTTCTTGCATTTTTTTTCTGTCTCTCCTACCAGAACTCATGCTCCATGAGGGTGGCAGTTTTGCCTGTTTTGTTTTCTCCAGTACCTCCAGAATCTAGAATAGAGGCATGCATACCCAGTGGAATATTGATGCATTTTATTGACTGAGTCAGAAGATCACTAAAGAGACTTTCCATTTGGAGTACTATTCAGCCATGAAAAAGAATGAGGTCCTGTCATTTGCAACAACATAGATGGAACTGGAGGTCATTATGTTAAGTGAAATAAGCCAGGCACAGAAAGACAAACTGCATGTTCTCATTTATTTGTGGGATCTAAAAATAAAAACAATGAACTTATGGAGATAGAGAGTAGAAGGATGGTTAACAGAGGCTGGAAAGAATAGTGGGGTGACAGGGAGAATGTTAATGAGAACAAAGAAATACCTAGAAATAAATAAGGCCAGGCATGGTGGTTCGTGCCTATAATCCTAGCATTTCAGGAGGCCACGGCGGGCAGATTGCCTGAGCTCAGGAGTTTGAGACCAGCCTGGACAACATGGCGAAACCCCATCTCTACTAAAAATATAAAAAATTAGCCAAACGTGGTGGTGCATGCCTGAAATCCCAGCTACTTGGGAGGCTGAAGCACAAGAATCGCTTGAACTCAGGAGGCAGAGGCTACAGTGAGCCCAGATCATGCCACTACACCCCAGCCTGGGTGACAGAGCGAGACTGTCTCCAAAAAAAAAAAAGAATAAATAAGACCTACTATTTGATACCACACAGGGTGACTATAGTCAATAACTTAATTGTACATTTTTAAATAACTAAAGGAGCTTAATTGGATTGTTTCTAACACAAAGGACAAATGCTTCAGGGGATGGATACTCCATTCTCCATGATTTGATTATTTCACATTGCATGGCTGTATCAAAATATTAATTTTTTTTGAGACGGAGTTTCACTCTTTCGCCCAGGGTGCAGTGCAGTGGCGCAATCTTGGCTCATTGCAACCTCTGCCTCCTGGGTTCAAACAATGCTTCCTCAGCCTCCTGAGTAGCTGGGATTACAGGCACGCACCACCATGCCCGGTTAATTTTTGTATTTTTATTAGAGGTGGCGTTTCCCCATGTTCATCAGGCTGGTCTCAAACTCCTGACCTCAGGTGATCTGCCTGCCTCGGCCTCCCCAAGTGCTGGGATTACAGGCATGAGAAATTTAAAATTTTCTAATAGCTATAATAAAAAGTGAAAAAACAGGTAAAATTAATTTTAGTAGCATATTTTATTTTTAAATACTTCAAATATTAGCATTTCAACCTGTAACCAATAGAAAAATTATTAATGAGATATTGTACTATCTTCTTTGGTTCTAAATCTCTGGAATCCAGCATGTCTTTGACACTTACAGCACGTCTCAGTTTGGACCAGCCACACTTCCAGTGCTCAGGAGTCACGTGGCTCATGACCACCAAATAGCACAGGGCAGGTCTAGCAAGATTCACACACACTGTTAGATACAGGGGACTGATCTTTGGCTGGTGTAGTTATGACATTTTTCCTTTCTTGTGCATACTTTACTGAATTTTCTGAGTTTTTTATAAAACAAAGCTGATCATCAGTAAAGCAATAATGCTATTTACAAGTGGGGGAGAAAAAATAATAAAATAAAAAAGAAATAATAATAATAAATAAAAAAGAAAATTTTAAATTACATATGTGGCTTGTGTTATGTTTTTGTTGTGCAAAATCTCAGAAAAGCTGAGATGTCCTGGCTTCTCTCTTTCCTCATTTACACATATATATACACATATGTAGTTTTTTTTTTTTAGAAAAGGGATACATTACATATATTGTTTTATGGACCTGCCACTTTTATAACCTGCAGACACATTTTTTACATGTCAGTAAACTAAGATTCTCTTTTTGAGACTGGATCTCACTCTATCGCCGAGGCTGGAGTGCAGTGGTGCCATCCTAGCTCATTGCAGCCTCGACCTCCCAGGCTCAAATAATCCTCCCTCCTCAGCCTCCCAAGTAGCTGGCACTACAGGCACGTGCAACAATGTCCAGCTAGTTTTGTTTATTCTTGTAGAGATGGGGTCTCACTATGTTTCCCAGGCTGGTCTTGAACTCCTGGACTCAAGCTATCCACCTGCCTTGGCCTCACAACTCATTTTTGATGGTGTTACAGTATAATACTAAATAAATGCATCAGGATTTATTTAACATATAATTGAACATTGTTGAGCCATTTCCTTTTTTCTTTCCTCTTTCCTGCTTTTTTACTGGTGTATAAAACCCTGTGACAACTTGTATTAAAAGATACCACATGGAAAAAGTCCCTGCTTGACAGTTCTGAAGAGAGCAGTGGTTCTCACAGCATGGTGTTCAAGCTCCAATAACGGACAGATTGCCTCCTCAAGTGGGTCCCTGACCCCCGTGTAGCCTGTCTGGGAGACACCTCCCAGTAGGGGCTGACAGACACCTCATACAGGCAGGTGCCCCTCTGGGATGAAGCTTCCAGAGGAAGGATCAGGCAAAAAGATTTGCTGTTCTGCAGCCTCCGCTGGTGATACCTAGGCAAACACGGTCTGGAGTGGACCTCAAGCAAACTCCAACAGACCTGTAGCTGAGGGGCCTGACTGTTAGAAGGAAAACTAACAAACAGAAAGGAATAGCATCAACATCAACAAAAGGACATCCACACCAAAACCCCATCCATAGGTCACCAACATCAAAAACCAAAGGTAGATAAAACCACAAAGATGGGGAGAAACCAGAGCAGAAAGGCTGAAAATTCCAAAAGCCAGAACACCTCTTCTCCTCCAAAGAACACTACTTCTTGCCAGCAAGGGATCAAAACTGGATGGAGAATGAGTTTGACGAGTTGACAGAAGTAGGCTTCAGAAGGTCAATAATAACAAACTTCTCCGAGATAAAGGAGCATGTTCTAACCCATCGCAAGGAAGCTAAAAACCTTGAAAAAAGGTTAGACGTATGGCTAACTAGAATAACCAGTATAGAGAAGAGCTTAAATGACCTGATGGAGCTGAAAACCACAGCACGAGAACTTCGGGGAGCATACACGAGCTTCAGTAGCTGATTCCATCAAGTAGAAGACAGGATACAAGTGATTGAAGATCAAATTAATGAAATAAAGTAAGAAGACAAGATTAGAGAAAAAAGAATGAAAAGAAATGAACAAAGCCTCTAAGAAATACGGGGCTATGTGAAAAGACCAAATCTACGTTTGACTGGCGTACCTGAAAGTGACAGGGAGAATGGAATCAAGTTGGAAAACATTCTTTAGGATATTATCCAGGAGAACTTCCCCAACCTAGCAAGGCAGGCCAACAATGAAATTCAGGAAATACAAAGAACACCACAAAATACTCCTCAAGAAGAGCAACCCCAAGACACATAATTGTCAGATTCGCCAAGGTTGAAAAGAAGGAAAAAGTGTTAAGTTCAGCCAGAGAGAAAGGTTGGGTTACCCGCAAAGGGAAGCCCATCAGACTAACAGCAGATCTCTCTGCAGAAACCCTACAAGCCAGAAGAGAGTGGGGGCCAATATTCAACATTCTTAAAGAATTTTCAACCCAGAATTTCATATCCAGCCAAACTAAGCTTTATAAGTGGAGGAGAAATAAAATCCTGTACAGACAAGCAAATGCTGAGAGATTTTGTCACCAGCAGGCCTGACTCACAAGAGCTCCTGAGGGAAGGACTAAATATGGAAAAGAACAACCAGTATGAGCCACTGTGAAAACATGCCAAATTGTAAAGACAATTGACACTATGAAGAATCTGCATAAATTAACGGGCAAAATAACCAGCTAGCATCATAATGACAGGATCAAATTCATACATAACAATATTAACCTTATATGTAAACGAGCTAAATACCCCAATGAAAAAACACAGACTGGCAAATTGGATAAAGAGTCAAGACCTATCAGTGTGCTGTATTCAGGAGATCCATTTCACGTGAAAAGACAAACCTAGGCTCAAAATAAAGGGATGGAGGAAGATCTACCAAGCAAATGGAAAGCAAAAAAAGAAGCAGGGGTTGCAATCCTGGTCTCTGATAAAACAGACTTTAAACCAACAAAGATCAAAAGAGATAAAGAAGGCCATTACATAATGGTAAAGGGATCAATTCAGCAAGAAGAGCTAACTATCCTAAATATATACGCACTCAATACAGGAACACCCAGATTCATAAAGTAAGTTCTTAGAGACCTACAAAGAGACTTAGACTCCCACACACTAATAACAGGAGACTTAAACACCCCACTGTCAATATTAGACAGATCAACAAGACAGAAAATTAACAAGGATATCCAGGACTTGAATTCAGCTCCAGACCAAGTGGACATAATAGACATCCACAGAACTCTCCACCCCAAATCAATAGAATATACATTCTTCTCAGCACCACAACACACTTATTCTAAAATTGACCACATAATTGGAATTAAAACACTCCTCAGCAAATGTAAAACACTAAAAATCACAACAAACTGTCTCTCAGACCACAGTGCAATCACATTAGAACTCAGGATTAAGAAATTCACTCAAAACTGCACAACTACATGGAAACTGAACAACCTGATCCTTAATGACTACTGGGTATATAACAAAATGAAGGCAGAAATAAAGATGTTCTTTGAAACCAATGAGAACAAAGACACAAACTACCAGAACCTCTGGGACACATTTAAAGCAGTGTGTAGAGGGACATTCATAGCACTAAATGCCCATAAAAGAAAGCAGGAAAGATCTAAAATTGACATGCTAACATCACAATTAAAAGAACTAGAGAAGCAAGACCAAACAAATTCAAAAGCTAGCAGAAGACAAGAAATAACTAAGATGAGAGCAGAACTGAAGGAGACAGAAACATAAAAAACTCTTCAAAAAAATCAATGAATCCAGGAGATGGTTTTTTGAAAAGTTCAACAAAACAGACCACTAGCAAGACTAATAAAGAAGAAAAGAGAGAAGAATCAAATAGATGCAATAAAAAATGATAAATGAGGTATCACCACCGATCCCACAGAAATACAAACTACCATCAGAGAATTCTATAAACACCTCTATGTTATTAAACTAGAAAATCTAGAGGAAATGGATAAATTCCTGGACACACACACCCTCCCAAGACTAAACCAGGAAGAAGTTGTATCTCTGAATAGACCAATAACAGGTTCTGAAATGGAGGCAATAATTAATAGCCTACCACCCAAAAAAAGTCCAGGACCAGATGGATTCACAGCCAAATTCTACCAGAGGTACAAAGAAGAGCTGGTATCATTCTGTCTGAAACTATTCCAATCAATGGAAAAAGAGGGAATCCTCCCTAACTCATTTTATGAGGCCAGCATCATCGTGATACCAAAGCCTGGCAGAGACAAAACAAAAAAAGAGGATTTTAGGCCAATATCCCTGATGAATATCGATGCGAAAATCCTCAATAAAATACTGGCAAACTGAATCCAGCAGCACATCAAAAAGCTTATCCACCATGATCAACTCAGCTTCATCCCTGGGATGCAAGGCTTGTTCAATATACACAAATCGATAAACGTAATCCATCACATAAACAGAATGAAAGACAAAAGCCACATGATTATCTCAATAGAGCAGAAAAGGCCTTCAACAAAATTCAACAGCCTTTCATGCTAAAAACTCTCAATAAACTAGGTATTGATGGAATGTATCTCAAAATAATAAGAACTATTTATGACAAACCCACAGCCAGTATCATAATGAATGGGAAAAAACTGGAAGCATTCCCTTTGAAAACTGGCACAAGACAAGGATGCCCTCTCTTGACACTCCTATTCAACATAGCATTGGAAGTTCTGGCCAGGGCAATCAGGCAAGAGAAAGAAATAAAGGATATTCAGTTAGGAAAAGAGGAAGTCAAATTGTCTCTGTTTGCAGATGACATGATTATATACTTAGAAAACCCATTGTCTCAGCCCAAAATCTCCTTAAGCTGATAAGCGACTTCAGCAAAGTCTCAAGATACAAAATCAATGTGCAAAAATCACAAGCATTCCTATACACCAATAACAGACAGAGAGCCAAATCATGAGTGAACTGCCATTCACAATTGCTATAAAGAGAATAAAATACCTAGGAATCCAACTTACAAGGGATGTGAAGGACCTCTTCAAGAAGAACTACAAACCACTGCTCAAGGAAATAAGAGAGGACACAAACAAATGGAAAACATTCCATGCTCATGGATAGGTAGAACCAATATCATGAAAATGGCCATACTGCCTAAGGTAATTTATAGATTCAATGCTATTCCCCTCAAGCTACCACTGACTTTCTTCACAGAATTGGAAAAAAACTGCTTTAAATTTCATATGGAACCAAAAAAGAGCCCACATAGCCAAGACAATCCTAAGCAAAAAGAACAAAGCTGGAGGCATCATGCTACCTGACTTCAAACTATACTACAAGGCTACAGTAAACAAAACAGCATGGTACTGGTACCAAAACAGATATATAGACATATGGAATAGAACAGAGGCCTCAAATAACACCACACACCTACAACCATCTGATCTTTGACAAATCTGACAAAAACAAGAAATGGGGAAAGGATTACCTATTTAATAAATGGTGCTGGGAAAACTGGTTAGCCGTATGTAGAAAGCTGAAACTGGATCCCTTCCTTATACCTTACGCAAAAATTAATTCAAGATGGATTAAAGACTTAAATGGAAGACCGAAAACCATAAAAATCCTAGAAGAAAACCTAGGCGATACCATCCAGGACATAGGCATGGGCAAAGACTTCATGACTAAAACACCAAAAGCAATGGCAACAAAAGCCAAAATAGACAAATGGGATCTAATTTAACTAAAGAGCTTCTGCACAGCAAAAGACACTATCATCAGAGTGAACAGGCAACCTACAGAATGGGAGACAATTTTTGCAATCTATCCATCTGACAAAGGGCTAATATCCAGAATCTACGAAGAATTTAAACAAATTTACAAGAAAAAAACAACCCCATCAAAAAATGGGCAAAGGATATGAACAGGCCCTTCTCAAAAGATGACATTTATGCAGCCAACAGACATATGAAAAAATTCTCATCATCACTGGTCATCAGAGAAATGCAAATCAAAACCACAATGAGATAGCATCTCATGCCATTTAGAATGGTGATCATTAAAAAGTCAGGAAACAACAGATTCTGGAGAGGATGTGGAGAAATAGGAACGCTTTTACACTGTTGGTGGGAGTGTAAATTAGTTCAACCATTGTGGAAGACAGTGTGGTGATGCCTCAATGATCTAAAACTAGAAATAACCATTTGACCCAGCAATCCCATTACTGGGTATATACCCAAAGGATTATAAATCATTCTACTATAAAGACACATGCACACATATGTTTATTGTGGCACTGTTCACAATAGCAAAGACTTGGAACCAACCCAAACATCTATCAATGATAGACTGGATTAAGAAAATGTGGCACATATACACCATGGAATACTATGCAGCCATAAAAAATGATGAGTTCATGTCCTTTGTAGGGACATGGATGAAACTGGAAACCATCATTCTCAGCAAACTATCGCAAGGACAAAAAACCAAACATTGCATGTTCTCACTCCTAAGTGGGAATTGAACAATGAGAACGCATGGACACAGGAAGGGGAACATCACACACTGGGGACTGTTGTGGGGTGGGGGAGGGGGGAGGGATAGCATTAGGAGATATACCTAATGCTAATGACGCGTTAATGGGTGCAGCACACCAACATGGCACATGTATACATATGTAACAAACCTGCACGTTGTGCACATGTACCCTAAAACTTGAAGTATAATAATAAAACAAAATAATAAAAAAAAAATAAAAAAAGAAAATGTGGCACATATACACCATGAAATACCATGCAGCCATAAAAAAGGATGAGTTCATGTCCTTAGTAGGGACATGGATGAAGCTGGAAACCATCATTCTCAGCAAAATATCACAAGGACAGAAAACCAAACACCACATGTTCTCACTCATAAGTGGGAGTTGAACAATGAGAACACATGGACACAGTGAGGGGAACATCACACACTGGGGCCTATTGGGGTGTGGGGAACTGGGGGAGGGATAGCATTAGGAGAAATACCTAATGTAAATGACGAGGTGATGGTTGCCCCAAACCAACATGGCACATGTATACCTATGAAACAAACTTGCATGTTGTGCACGTGTACCCTAGAACTTAAAAAAAAGAAAGAAAAAAAAAGAAACCATGTGTACCTGTTATTTCTCTAGGATAAATTCCTAAAATATATTTAGAGCTCATGGAAACCAAATAAGTCACAGCTCCTCAGACCAGCAACTTTATGAACTTTGGATGCTGTTAGGTGGAACTGCAGGACGATTTTAGCAGCCTTTGACAAATCTCTTTGAGGCTTTAATACACTTTGTTCTAGAACACAGGAGATGAATGGTCTAATACAGAGGCTGTGGAGACAGACAAGCCAAGTTCCAATTCTGGTTCTTTGTCATTTCTAATGATGTGACTTCAGGCCACTTTTTTGACCTGAGCCTCAGTCTCCGTATCTAAAAAATGGGAGCACTAACTATACAGCCCTCCTAAAGTTACTCTTAGGATTGAGTGAAATGCTGTGTAAAATTGTTCAGCACAGTGCCTGGCTCTTGGTAAAACCTCAGGAAATGTGGTTATTAACATTTTTGAGATCTGGTTTGGATATGTCAATCAATATACACATACACGCAGATTTCTGCATTTTTGTCATACTCACCCTCTCTCAATGACTTTTTTTTCAAACAGAGATCTATTTGCTAAAATAAATTGAAATGGGTAAAGAATATGAGGCACAATTTATACTAGATATATCTGCAATTACTAACTCTGAATTAAACATATCCCTTCATGAATAATGAAGCAGAAATAGGCCAAAGGAAAAATGAGATAAGATCTTAAATCCATGTATTTTTAATTGCTTCATTATCTAAAATTTGCTATGAATAGCAGTGGATACAGTTTGCTGTTTAAAGCACAAAAAGAAATAAGAATTTCCAGCCAAATCACAAAAGGCTATCAAAAATTAATTTTGTGTGCTATGATCACTGAAAATGTAAGTGATTTTGAGGCAGAGTGACATTTAAAAATGCCATTTATATGCTAATAATAAATGAGTCTTTTTTTCATTTTGATGCAAAATAAATTTTATTTTCATTTTAATGAACTGTAATGAATTATAAGCATTCTCTTTTTATCTTTAAGTAAAAGTCTGGGACAGATAGCAGAAGGTTGGCAGAGACAGGCAAGATGTCTAAGAGGAAGTGAAAATGGAACCTGTCCTATCAGCTGCTACTGACCTCCTAAGCTGGATGAGATCCTTTGCAGCTGAGGTGGTTGTCTCTTGGATTTTAGAAATTCACAAAAGTTGGGTTTACCCCAAAGACGGTGAACTATCAATTCATGCCATCTTAGAGAATGATATCTATGAACCACATTGAATTGATCACCCTTTTTCTCTTACACTGGATGACATTCTTATTCTAGAAACTAAAATCAGCAATGCAATTCTTCACATCCTTCAGTCTCTAAAGGATATTTTTCGATAATAATGCTTATTTTCTTTTTGAGATGGAGTCTCACTCTGTCGCCCAGGCTGGAGTGCAGTGGAATAATGCTTATTCTTTATTGAAGTCTTACTCCACGTCAGCCATTTTTCTATGTTTCATATCCATTCTTTTATCTAACTTTTATGACAGCCCTAAGAAGTTGGGACTATTACAATCCCTGCTTTATAGATGAGAAACTTGAAACCAGAGAGGGTAGGCAATTTCCCTTTGATTTCACAGTCAATGAAGTTTAGATCTGAATTCATATCTATGACTTAAGTGCTATAATATTTAACTTATGTCCACTGTCAACTCTTTTTTGGAAAAGAGGAAACAGAAGGATGTCAGCTTTTACTTTAAAAAAAAAAATTGCTAATGGTGACATTTCAGGCATCAGCTAGAAAAACATCACATCAGGGGCCGGGCATGGTGGCTCACACCTGTAATCTCAGCACTTTGCGAGGCTGAGGTGGGCAAATCACTTGAGGCCAGGAGTTTGAGACCAGCCTGGACAACATGGTGAAACCCCATTTTTACTAAAAACACAAATATTAGCCAGGCATGGTGACACATGTGTATAATCTCAGCTACTTGGGAGGCTGAGGCAGAAAAATCACTTGAACCCAGGAGGCAGAGGCTGCAGTGAGCCGAGATCACACCACTGCACTCCAGCCTGGATGACAGAGTGAGACTAAATAAATAAACAATAAATAAATAACATACATACACTTTAGGGAAGACAGAAAGAAGGACTTTGGGTGTTATTGTCCACTCTGTTCAAGGTGCAGGTAACTGCCGGACACCTCGCCCATATCCAGGCTAGGTTTAAAGCCCAGTTAGTCATTTTATTAGATCTGAAAGGATGCATGCTTGAGACATCTGGGTATGTTTGCCAGGGCTTTGGTGAAAAAACACCCAGAGCTCTGCTGAGCAGAGAGGCCTTTGGTTTTTTATGGAAGGTTTTTTATTCTCTGAAGCCTGCCTTCTTTGAAGTGAGAAGCCAGAACTTTCCAAATTCATTTCTGTGTTATCCTCATCTCTTACTCTTAGGTCTTGGGTTGCCTTTTCCTGACTTGGTTGTTGATGTTAATTCTCTTTAACCAGGGTCTCTTTAAATGGGAGCTAGTGAGTTATGGAGCAGTAATTCACCCTTCAGATCTAGTGGACTCAAGGCCACAGGCCAGCCCCTATTAAACAGAAAGGTCTGAATTATTATCCTGTAATTCACCCACTGGTAGCGTCTTAATTCAATTATACTATGCCCCTGAATGAAGATTAAAAGAAATAGAAAAAAAAAAAAAAAGGTTCTGGATCTTTTTTTGGTTACAATCTAGAGTAATTTTCAGTGCCAAAGAGTTCTTCCTTTAAAGTAATTAGGAAGCAAATTAAAAAGGAAGATTAAAGAAGACAGCCCCTTATCACTGGTAAGGCTGCACTGTAGACAATCAACTGTATTTCAACCAATGGAAACGTGGCAGGAACTACAGCAATACAAGTATCTTCTCTTTGACCAAATCCTTTTGATTTATATCTTGCCTCCCCTTTTATTTTAGAATTCTTCTACTAGTAAGCTTAAGTTAAAACTAGTTCTAAATTCTGTTGTAATCTGCCCAATATTACCCTAGACATTGCATAATAAATGCAGATGGGATTGGGCATGGTTCATGCCTGTAATCTGAGCACTTTCAGATGCCAAGGCAGGGGGATCACTTAAGGCTGGGAGTTTGAGGCCAGACTGGGCAACAGAGTGAGACCCTATCTCTACAAAAAAAATTTGAACTAGTTGGTTGTGCTGGCATGCACCTGTAGTTCCAGCTACTTGGGAGGCTGAGGCAGAAGGCTGACTCAAGCCCAGGCGTTTGAGGTTGCAGTGAGCTGTGATTGGATCATACCACTGCTATCCAGTCTGGGCAACAGCAAGGGACCTCTGTCTAAAAATTTAATTGAATGCAGATGGATAAACTTGATGACATGACTAGCCTAGTTCAAAAAGATGCAAACACAATGCAAGTTAAACAAAAAACAAAGAATTTGAGGTTTCCTTGTGTCTTAGTTTGGGTTCTCTCAGGAGAAGACCCTAAGACAAGCATTTGTAGTTGATGTGAGAGGTGAAAGTAGTGAGATAAAAAAGGGAAAGAAGTCAATGTACAGTGTTATCAATCAAGCTACTCCTGTGGGCAACGAGGGCTGCAAAGCTCTGGTGAATGGTATAGAACAGGCACTTAAGGGCAGTGAGGGAGCTGGGTATTGATACACCAACTCCCATAGGTCATAGGTTAAGAGCCATTGAGGACGGCCAACTTTGTCTTTGCTGTCTTCTTGCCTTTCATGAGTCTAGAGAACTCTCGGATGGCTAATTGACTTTGTCCCACTCCACATATAGGGATATGGCCAAAAACTACAAAACACTTTTCTCAAGTTCAGAAACACTCAACCTCAGCTTTCTCTAGAGTCTTTACATTGTTAAGAAAATAATCTGCCAAACTATATCTGTCTTTTTAAAAACTCTATCTAAAGATGGGGCCTCATTTTGTTGCCCAGGCTGGTCTCAAACCCCTGGCTTCAAGGAATCCTCCCATCTGAGCCTCCCAAAGCACTGGGATTACAGGCATGAGCCACAATTTCCGGGCCTTTTTTTAAAAACTTTTTTTTTTTTTTTTTTTTTTTGAGATGGAGTCTCATTCCATCGCCCAGGCTGGAGTGCAGTGGCATGATCGCGGCTCACTACAG
Organism: Homo sapiens; assembly: GCF_000001405.40. Lineage (NCBI taxonomy): Eukaryota > Metazoa > Chordata > Mammalia > Primates > Hominidae > Homo > Homo sapiens. The sequence continues at coordinate 1,022 of NW_019805500.1, read as the reverse complement.
CCTCCACCTCCCAGGTTCAAACAATTCTTTTGCCTCAGCCTCCTGAGTAGCTGGGATTACAGGCATGCACCACTACTCCTGGCTGAGTTTTGTATTTTTAGTAGAGATAGGGTTTCACCATGTTGGTTAGGCTGGTCTCAAACTTGTGACCTCAAGTGATCCACCCACCTCAGCCTCCCAAACTGCTGGGATTACAGCCATGAGCTGCTACGCCCAGCCTAAACATATTTTAAGTTTGTTTTATCTGAAAAATGACACTGGTATTTTGATAGGGATTACATCAATCTAGAGATTGCTTTGGGCACTATGGTCATTTAATGGTATTAATTCTTCTGATCCATGAGTATGGAATGTTCTTCCATTTGTTTGTGTCACCTAGGATTTCTTTCATCGGTCTTTTAGAGTTTTTCTTGCAGAGATCTTTCACCTCCTTGGTTAAATATAGTGCTAGGTATTTTATATGTTTTTATAGCTATTGTAATGGGGATTGTCTTCTTGATTTGGTTCTTAGCTCAACGGTTGTTGGTGCGTAGAATTGCTACTGATTTTTGTATCCTAAAACTTTACTACATTCATTCCAACCTATATCTATAGTCAGCAGTAATAGATCAAATAGTAATAGATCAAAGCTCAGAATGTAGAGTCACAGGCTCAAATTCTGGGTATGCACTCATTTGTCATGTGATTATGAAGAGTCAGCTCTCTCATCTGCAAAATGGGTCACAGGGTGTTTTAAGAAACGCATGAGTTAACGATAAGGCCCTTCCCTTACGATGCTGTGCACACAAATGGCCATTATGATACTGATGAGGATGACGAGGCTTTGGTTTAGGGGCAGGAAAACCACTATTCCTGAGTTGGGCAGACCTTGAATCCACCATCCCTTCCTTCTTCACCCAGTCCATTTTTAACTTTCTGGACTGAGTTACTCTCACATGCAAAACCCAGATAGTTCCCAGAACCTAACTAGAGATCACCATCTGATAACCCACACACTACATCTACACTACATAAATGTCAAA